>NC_000016.10:61835227-62138257 GCF_000001405.40 Homo sapiens | reverse complement strand
TCAAGAGACTGGAACATGTTTTAAGGAAATCTGGGCTTGCTTTCAAAAACAGGATCCATTTATAGTCTGAGGGGAAAGTCAGAGGAGGCTAAGGGAAGCTGGCTGAGATTCACTTTGAATTCCTTGATTTTCCAAATCTGAAGCTCAAAGTCAAATTTAGGCCCTGCCAACTACTTGAACCATGACAGGAGTTAAAAGGTTTTTAGAAGTCCTTAAAAAATTATACTGCTGGTGGCAACGATAGCTTGACGACTTTAATTCTGCAACATCAATAATGGTGTCTGGGTTGCATAGTCACTGTGGTACTCCTCATTTTCACTCCCTCGTACAAACTCTGCATATGGAAAGGTATGACTGATATGGGAATAAGTGTAGCATATTTTTTGTAATGTGATTTTCTTGAAGCTGTGACAATCATGACTTGCTCTACATTTGGGGGGTGGATTTGACCCTCTGCAGCTATGAAATTTCATAAGAGCATATTAAAACTATTTTAAGAAGCAGGAAAGGAGAATTAGAAAGATAATGAGCACAGATTAAGAACAAGTGCACCATTGGCCCTATAACGCTTGGGTTCAAGAGATAGATGACAAAAGATAGAAAGATAGATGACACACAGATAGATAGATAGATACGTAGGTAGATAGATAGATAGATAGATAGATAGATAGATAGATAGATAGATAGAATACATAGATAGATAGATAGATAGATAGATAGATAGATAGATAGATAGATAGATAGATAGATAGGATACATAGATGATAGATAGATAGATAGATAGATAGATAGATAGATAGATAGATCAACTCAATTATTTACACACTGTTATGATTTTTATTTAGCAGGCCCTTTTCCTTTAGACTTCCCTCTGATATCATCCATCTTTGTAGTTTTTCAGCTAATATGGCTCTTGCTCACAGTTTTAGAAAAACTCATTTCTACTAAGCTGGTCTTACCAAAATATTACTTTATAAGCTCTTTTTCACATGTTGATTCAGCTGTCCATGCTTATTTCTACCTATTCTATAATAAGCTGGATAATCTAGGTTATATTCCTGACAACCCCAAATCTCATTTGCAAAGAACGATAAAATCTACTTATCACTTACTCTAAATGTTCCATGCATGCCAGTGTGGGGTTTTGCTCAACACGGTCACCCAGGGAGCCTGGCTGACACAGGCTAGCCCATGTTATAGTGGCACAATCTGTGACACCTGCCTCTTCTCAGTATGTAACACAGGGGAAGAGAAAGAGTGATGACTTGTGAAAAGTTGACCCAGACATCTCTCAAAAAGCGATATAAATAAATTACACTCACATTGCATCATTTAGATGAGTTACCAGGTCTTGACTTATTGCAAGGAGGTTAGAAAGTATAGGAAAGAAAGTGATATTGATCTTGCCTGCCGTTTTGCCGATTTTACAATTCTGGCTAGCCTAGAGTCCTTTAAGTTCTGATCAGGAGACTGAAACATTAAGATTTCACTTGTCATATGTGGTCCTGGCAACATCCCAAACTTTATGTTCCCATGTACCTTGTGATGAATTCTAGGGCCTCCTTATAAGAAGCAAAATATAGAATTTAAACTCATGGACACAGCATCAGTAGTGCTACCAAAAGCAGACTTGTATTATTGTTAGAAAGGCCATCAGATACGACCCTAAGTGAATGAATTAATGAATCATTAAGCTCCTTCATTCATCAGCCCGTTTAATGTATCAGTTGAGAAACTGACATTTATTATCTATGCTATGGTGAGAACCATGCTTTGTACCTATTGTACCTAACAATCTGAGACAAGCATGGCATATTTCTACCCAAAAGGAGTTTTAGCTGCCCAGGAGAAGGGAGGTCAACAAAAGAACACTGAAGTTTAGTGTGATAATTAATAAGATAAAAGTTAAATGCAGATGCATGTGTATACTCCCCATCCCTCACCCCCCCCCATAAACACTCACAGCATGCCAAAACTATACTAGGTATTTGAGTTTCATGGCTCAGTAAATACACACATATAATAAATTCTGTGGTGTGCCACATACCTCTTGCAAAAATTTGAGGCACTCATTTCTCCTGCTGTTGGGAGTATGGGTAGTTACTATAGCTTTCAGCTTTGACGTTCTCCACCAATTGCTCTCAGCTTGAAAGGGCCCTCTTAGTCAAGGTCATGCCCCTTTCACGGGAGTAACCCACATTCAATACTGATTAATGGAGGGGGGATGGGATGGGGGAGGGGTATAAGTTCCCATCTTTTTTGGCTTAAAGCTGAGGGTGAGTAATCAGCAATTAAAATCTAAGTGTAAAAGCCAATGGACCATCATGATAGCACATGAAGTGACTCATTTTTCAAAGTCTAAGGATATAAAAAGGTTTTCAGACCCAGAGCTTATATAAGAGTATTTTAACTCCAGTGGAAGTTGAATTCTTCATTTTAGCCATACTGTGGTCTGGCCCTAATTAAGAAGGAGCAAAACCAGAGACAGGAGATGGGGATATATGAGTCCATACATATAAAATCTTAAATCCCCAGATCTCTCTGAAATATCTGGGCTCAGAGAAGTGGCCCATTCCTTGTTAGAGGATATGACTTTCTTTTTACTTGAAGATGATTCAGAAACTTTGCCTTGCAAGAAAATATTCATGCCCATAAGGATCCTCTTATACTTCTCCTCTGACTACCAGACCACTAATTCGGGTTAGGCCACAGATGACTTGGCTCAGTATGTGTGTGCTACCCTAAAACTCCAATGGACATATTCCTTAAAAAAAGAGCTGTAGAAATGAATCCTGACAATGAATTAACCTTCAGGTAAAACACCCGGTCACACATGTTTTCTGGAAATATAAGTGGCTCAAAGTAAAGAATATAAATATGAACTAATAACCATTGGCTAATAGCTTGGCTCAATGGTCAAGGGCCTGTAAAGAAAACAACTAGAATAATAGGGATAAGGAGACTAAAGATGTATACATATAAATAAACTTATGCTCATAAGCAGAAATATAAATATTCTTGTATCACATGTTAATACCCAAGAAAATGCATCCACCTTTTTGACAGTCAGAATAATGATCTCCCTCTCCCCACAAAGACATTTCCATTCTAATTCTAACAGGTGTCTCTGAAATAATTTGGATGTTTGTTCCATCCAAATCTCATGTTGAAATCTAATCCCCAATGTTGGAAGTGGGGCCTGGTGGGAAGTGTTTGGGTCATAGGGGCGGATCCCCTCATGAATATCTTGGTGCTCTCCTCATGGTAATGAGTTTACATGAGAACTGGTTGTTTAAAAGTGTGTGGTACTTACCCCCTGTCTCTTTTGCTCCTTATCACCATTTGATGCACCTGCTCCCCCTTCACCTTCTGCCATGATTGGAAGCTTCCTGAAGCCCTCAGAAGGTGCAGATGCTGGTGCCATGCTTCCTATACAGCCTGCAGAACTGTGAGCCAAAACAAACCTTTTGGAACTTCTTAGAGACTGGTTAAATGGTTGTGACGAAAATACTGATAGAAATTGGACAGTGAAAGCCAGGCCGATGAAGTCTCAGAGAGAAATGTGTAATTTATTAGGAATTAGAACAAAGGTCATACTTCTTATGCCCTAGCAAAGAACTTAACCACATTATGAACGTGTGCTAGGGATTTATGGAAGATTGAACTTAGAAGTGATGACCTAGGGTATCTGGCAGAAGAAATTTCTAAGAAGCAAGGATTCAAGATGTGGCCTGGCTGCTTCTAACTATCTATAATCTGATATACGAGCAAAAAAATGACTTAAAGTTGAAACTTATAATTGAAAGGGAAACAGTGCAAAAGTTTGGAAAATTTGTAGCCTGGCCATGTGGTAGAGAAAGAAAAAGCATTTTCAGGAGAGGAATGAAAGGAGGCTTTGGAAAAACCACTTGCTAGAGCAATTAGCATGACTGAAAGGGAGCCAAGTGCTGATATCCAAGACAATGAAAAAAATAGCCTTAAAGGCATTTCAGAAGTCTTTGAAGCAGCCCTTCCCATCACAGGCCTAGAGGACTAGGAGAAAAGAATGGTTTTAGGGGCCAAGCCCATGGTGCCACTGCCCTGCACCACCTCAGGGTACTGCTCCTCACATCCTGGCCCCTCTGGCTCTAGTCAGAGTTCAAAGGGCCCCAGGCATAGCTCAGACCACAGCTCCAGAAGGTACTAGCCATAAGCCTTGGCAGTTTCCATGTGGTGTTAAGCCTGCAAGTGCACAGAATGTGAGATTTAAGAAGGCTTGGCAGCTTCTACCCGGATTTCAGAGAATGTACAGGAAAGTCTGGGTGCTCAGGCAGAAACCTGCTGCAGGAGCAGAGCCTCTACACAGAGTCCCCACCAGAGCACTGCCTAGTGGAGCTATGGGAAGGGGCCTGCTGCCCTCCAGACCTGAGAATGGTAAAACCACTGGCAGCTTGCAATCCTAGCCTAGAAAACCTACAGGCACTCAAATCCAACTTGAGAAAACAACCACAAGGGCTACATCCTGAAAAGTCCCAGGGGCAAGTGTACCCAAGGCCTTGAGAGCCCACTCTTTACATCAGTATGCCCTGGATATGTGACACGAAGTCAAAAGAGATTATTTTGGAGCTTTAATATTTAATGACTGCCCTATTGGGTTTCATACTTGTGTGAGGCCTGTTGCCCCTTCCTTTAGGCTGATTTCTCCCTTTTAGAATGGGAATATTTACCTAATGCCTGTGCCACCATTGTGTCTTGAAAGTAAATAACTTGGTTTTCATTTTAAGGCTCATAAGTGGAAGAGACTTTCCTTGTCTCAGATGAGACTTTGGATTTTGGACTTTTGAGTGATGCTGGAATGCATTAAGAGTTTTGAGGACTGTTGGGATGGGATGATTGTATTTCGCAGTGTGAGAAGGACATGAGATTTGGGAGGCCAGGGGCATAATGATATAGTTTGGGTGTTTTTTCCCCTCCAAATTGTCATATTGAAATCTGATTCCTGGGGTTGGAGGTGGGGCCTCGTGGGAGATATTTGGGTCATGGTGGCAGATCCCTCATGATTGGTGCCCTCCCTGTGGTAATGAGTGAGATCTCTTTCTTCATTCACATAAGATCTGGTTGTTTTAAAAAGCGTGGCACTTCCCCCCCTCTTTCTTGCTCCCTCTGTCACCATGTGACACACTGGCTCCTCTTCACCTTCTGCCATGACTGTAAGCTTCATGAGGCCCTCACCAGAAGCAGATGCTAGAGTTATGCTTCCTGTACAACGTGCAGAACTGTAAGCCAACATAAACATCTTTTATTTATAAATAACTTAGTCTCTGACATTCCTTTATAGTAACATAAAAATGTACTAACATAGTCTCAAAAGACAACAATTAGAAAAAGCCATCCCAACTCCAATATTACTGTTGGATTGTAGTGCCTATGTACAGTTTGATAACTTCCACTGTCTACTCTTACCTCTTTTAGTCACCCACAGGTTTTGCTTGAAAGCATATTCACCCATAAAAGTCTTACACATAAATCTCCATCTCAGAGTCTATTTAGGAAAAGAAAACGGAACTAAGACAATTACATCTACCATATAAGCTATGCATAGGAAGTACAGGTTTCTATGAAGTATGGGATATAAGAGTAGGTTTCACTAGAAGGCTGAAAGCCACATATGTAAAGTGAATATCCGAAGGATGTAAATAAAGGTAGTGCTTGAATAGACTTTGGAGAAGCATAGGGAGCAGGAGGAGAGAACCTGTCTAGGAGCACCTGCACATCTGAAGCACAGTGACAAGAGAAGCATGAAATGTCTTGGGGAGTAAAGGAAGGCCAGAAAAGCTGAAGCAAAGTAAACTGAGACTGTAGACATAGCATCTCATAGAAATCACTTTAAAAATAACAATTCCAGGCCGGGTGCGGTGGCTCACACCTGTAATCCCAGCACTTTGGGAGGCCAAGGCAGGTGGATCACAAGGTCAGGAGTTTGAGACCAGCCTGGCCAAGCTGGTGAAACCCCATCTCTACTAAAAATATGAAAATTAGCTGGGCAGGGTGGCAGGCGCCTGTAATCCCAGCTACTCGGGAGGCTGACGCATGAGACTCACTTGAACCCAGGAGGTGGAGGTAGCAGTGAGCCGAGATCGCACCATTGCACTCCAGCCTGGGCGACAGAGTGAGATTCTGTATGAAATAATAATAATAATAAATGAATAAATAAATAAAAATAACAATCTTTATTCTAAGATCAGTGAGGCAGCTACTGATTTTTTGTTAACACAGTTGTGTGAAATTGGGCAAGAAGTGAGATATAATCCGATTCTCATTGTGAATAGAACTTTCTGCCTTCAGTATAGAAGCCAGAGAAGGTGTGCACTAAAAGTAGGGAGACGTGATAGACAGCTATGGAAGTCCAGGTGGGAGTCTATGAGCACACAAGAAGGGCTATCTAATCCAAACCAGGGTGGCCAGGGGCACCATGTAAGGCTTCCTAGTAGAAGACATGACACATCTAAACAGAGTGGGAAAAATGAATCACATTGAAAATTGTCAGGCAAAGGAGAGAGGAAGGGGTTTTCTAACAAAGGCTCTGACTGAAAGAGGGGAAGCCTTATCACTAGCACTATAACTTGGTAGTCATGGATGGCTGGAGAGAAAAGGGGAGTGGAAGCACAAGAGCTGGAGAGCTAAGAGGTCATGTCTTCAATAAACATTGAGGGTAGGAATTCAGACTCTGCCAAAGGTAAAACAGAGCTGTGGCGTGGTGTTAAGAAGCAGGGACATGATCACAACTCCACTTCAGAAATATCTCACTGGAAGCAGCTTAGAGAACAAAATGGAAGAATTAGAGAACCATGGCAAGGTTCTCTGATGAGGTGAGAGGATAACTCTCTATTGGAGTTTCAAGTCAGGAAGTTCACCCTATCAGCAGTATATAGGGGGGATTTATAGCAGAAAAAGCTATGAAGGCTGGTTACCAGAGGCATAGAAAGAAAACACAAAGATTTTTTATATACCAGCAAAAGATACAGACTTCCAGCCAGGTGCAGTGGCTCACGCCTCTAATTTCAGCACTTTGGGAGGCCAAGGTGGATGGATCACCTGAGGTCAGGAGTTCAAGACCAGCCTGGCCAACATGGTGAAACCCTGTCTCTACTAAAAAAAAAAAATACAAAAATTACCTGGGCGTGATGGAAGGGGACTGTAATCCCAGCTACTCGGGAGGCTGAGGCAGGAGAATCACTTGAACCCAGGAGGCGAAGGTTGCAGTGAGCTGAGATTGAGCCACTGCATTCCAGCCTAGGTGATGAAGCAAGACTCCATCTCAAAAAAAAAAAAAAAAGAAAAGAAAAGAAAAAGAAAAAGACTTCCATGCACATGTTGATGACAGAATTTTCATGACATTTTTGGCTCATCTTTGAGTAGAATTTTCAGTCTATTTTAACTGTATCATTGAGGTTCAATGAATAACCATTCCGGTTTGCTTGGGTCTCTTCCACTTTAGGGACTGAATGTCCCACATGCCAGAGAAACCATCAGTCCCAGACAAAGGATAAGGTTTCACTATGAGTTTCACTATGTTGAAGTTTCTGAGGTCTAGTTTCAGAGAAAACCGACTTGGAGGCAAAGATTTGCATGCAGGGAATTTATTCCCGAGTTGTTTGGGAAAGAACACCAGTGAAGAAAGGAAGGCAGCAGAATTAGGCAAGGGCAAGCTGAACTATGATGCCATTACAATAAAGACTACAGCTGGTTCTAGAACTGGGAGGACCCATCAGAGCTGCCCCAAACTGAGACATGATGACTGGGTATCTGTACTCCCACATAGACTACGTTTTGGATTTTAATTTGAACCCAGACAGGGAGCATACACTTGGGCCCAGTCAAGGTTAATTCCTGGTAAGGAACTCAGTCATGAGTCATCAGCCGTCCACACTCTGATTCTCAGCAGGTGGGGGAATGAGTAGTTTGGCCATCAATGGAGGAATCGGTCCATACACTACAGCATCCACTAGAGAAAACAATTCTGCAACTAATCCCCCGGAGACATCCCTTCAGCTCTGCATGGATTCTTGTTTGCAGCTTGGCTCTCTGTGAGGGCTTATAAACTTTTCAGTAAGTCAGTTTCTTTTCCTTTATTTCTTCCAGTTTATTTTGGAGGTTATAACTCAACTGCTTATGCAGACTTTAATAAATGCATTTCCAGCTCTTCACAAGAGAAGCCCATATTAAATATTAGATGGATGAACTGTTCACCTCTTTACTTAGACTGGGTAAGTGAAGCTGTCTCTTTATTCCTCTGCCCTTTTCCCTATGTCTCTCCCACTAGGGAAACTTTTGCCAACATCAAAGTGTAGCCTAACTGTGGAAAGCTGACTTAGCCATAAGGATTTCTCATTCCTGTGATACATGTGATCTTTTCCTTTTACTGTCACTTAATTCTGCTCCCTGGACTTGCCTCTAAGGTGTCAAGAGAGAAGCAACTCTCTGCACTTCAAGGACGATGTTTCTTTCTTCTCAAATTATCACTTAACAGACGGGATGATTCTTCTCAGACCTTTTCAAATTTCCCAATGGGCTTCCAAATACAGGGCAAAGCACAGGCGATGTCTAGCAGGTTCCTGGCACTCCTATGTGCATATTACTAGAAGGAAAATGCAAACAATTATTGCTAATTAAAGATATCTGAGAAATGAGTTAAGATACATTATCACTGATATTACTATAGGTTCATAACCCTTTTGTTTTTAAAGCCATTTTATTGAATATTTATTAAAAGCTTCAACATTGGAGTCAAACAGTGCGGCTTCCAATTTTACCTCCTCCAACCCTTGCCTGTGTTATTCTGAGCAGGTTGGTTAAACACAGTGAGCCTCTGATACACCATTTGTCAAAGGGGGGTTATAATAAGCAGCACTGTTGTTAGCGTTCTGCCCAATCCTCTCTTCTGTAACAGCAAACCCCTCCCCCTACTGCGGGTTCTGACTTGTCCTTGTACACACATGCATGGTTCACCAAAGAATTTACCTTGGCTGATGAGGTCCCCCTGAAGTGCCTGGGAGGTTATGTACCCTCAACTCAGGCCAGCAATTGACTCCGAGATGAGCACGTGTCCTAATTCTGACCAAAGAATTTGGAAAATGAAAAGTGTTCTACTAAGAAAAGGGAATTTTTTTCTCATTAAGAAGAGACAATATTTTCCACCCTCTCTATGTTGCTGTGTTTCCATGTATTTCATGAAACAACTGCAGTTATCCATAAATCATATTGAACAACACAAAGTTGTCAGAGCTCACACAAAGCAAAACAAAACAAAACTAAACTAAGATTCTTGATGATACATATGATTGCCCAAATTACACATTCTGGTGTCTTCTCTACCTCTGGACTTGCTATTACGTTAGTTACACATGTCATCATTATTTATTGAGTTGATTCAAGGTTTTTCTTGCAGTCAAAAGCAAACTAACATATATACTGTGTGTGTGTATGTGTAGGGAGGTGGAGAGGAGAGAAGAAGGAAAAAAAAGAAGAAGGAGGAGAGGAGGTTCAGCAGGAGGAGGAGGAGGAGGATGAGGAGGAGCAGCAGGAGGAGGAGGGAATGGGAGAAATGAAAGGAGTGAGAATATGTGTCCTGGTGTCCAACTTGATTCCCTAGGTCTGGTCCCTGCACATATTTTCCCAATATATCACCCAGCTTTCACTTCTACTTGGACTTGATTGAATTGTTAAAGGGAACCTGAAAGATAAATATTGATTAATTCATCTTCAAAGTTCTTGGAACAGTTACAGTGCAATAAACACTCAATGGCTATTAGCTATTTATAGCATTCCCAATTATCAAGATAATCATTATGTTCTTTTATCTTATCACTCCTTATGAAGCTGAAGTAGTGGTTCCTAAAACTAGTTTCACATTAATGTCAGCTATAAAGCTTTTAAAAATTAATGCAGTCCAAATTTTCCACTTTTAATATAATGGGGTAACTGATTCAGGTCTTTAATTGAAACAAGGAAACTAGACAAAATTCATGAAACAAATTTTGTCAGACATTGTAGAACAGACAGCATAGGATTATTATACCTGAGAGACAGGAAATAAATGAAGTGAACCTTACAGTTTCCCCAGCTTTCAGCCTGGAAAACTTTTTAGATCCAGTACAGGGAGGAGGAACCCCAGCATCGCTAGGCAATATTCTTGGGATTTGGAGGCAAATATCAGATTTAAGGTAGGCTAAGGCAGATTTTTAATGCAGAATACTGGAAAGGATAGAGTTATGCAGAAAGAGAGCTACAGAAATTTGCAAAATGTTTTATGAATATGTTATTCAATACAAAGGTGCATATGTGTAGGGGATAATTTTGTAAACCCAGGCAAAGGTACGCTATCAGAAAGCTAAAATATAAACAATTCCCAGAGCTCACATAAGGCTGTGAGTCTTTTTACTTCTGACTAGTCAGAGTAGAGTTGGCTCCTTGTACATCTAGGGTATCCAGTAGGCACCAGATGAGTCACACCTTAGTAGCAGGGCAAAACTGTCTCCAGAATAAGAAATATGGTAGACAAACACTAACAATATTTAAACACAAGCAAACCTAGGAAGTCTCAAACTGCTCCAAAAAACAATATTCAACGTGTTTAAAGGAAGACAACACAATCCAGACCCTCATCAATGTGAGTCACTATGCCCAATGCCCACTAAAAAATTATTAGGCAGGTAATTCCAGGTAGCTGTTATGACTGTTTGTGTTTCCCCCAAATTTATATGTTGGACTCTAATCCCCAATGGGATGGCATCCAGAGTTGGAGCCTTTGGAATGTAATTAGGTCATGAGGGTGGAGCCCTCATGGATGGGATTAATGCCCCTATAAGAAGATATCAGAGAACTACTTGCTTGCCCTCTTTGTGCCGTGTAAAGATACAAGAAGTCGGCTGTCTGCAACTGGAAGAGAACCTTCACCAGCATGAATGATGCGGACATCCTGAGCTGAGGCTTCCAGCCTCCAAAACTGTGAGAAATAAGTGGTTTTTGCCTAAGCTAGCCAGCCTATGGTAATTTGTTATGGCAGCTGAAACTGACTAAGATATTGCCAAGGCAATATCAGGCTTGTAAATTTAATGTACCCAACCAGGGCAGTAACAGAAGCAGTAAAGAACTACAAGAATAAATAAAACTACAGAAATCCAAGCTGCCCACATAACATTAAGAGAGTGAACAGCTAAAATGTAATTGCCTGTAGGTAGAACAATAATGCCCAATTCTTGCCAGCTTTCTCTGTTTCTGGCCAGAAGAATTTGAAAACGCAAGTAAAGTTTGAAAAAAAAAAAAACTGTTGAAGAGAAAAGCGAAGAGGTATCTTTGGGTCTTTAATTTTTTCCTAAAGCCATATTATATAGAGAAAGTCTACCTTCTGTGTGAAAATGATGAAAAAGCATATAAGTAGATCAAAGCACTGAATATAGGAAAAAGGCTAAAAAGGGCTTTGTGGGCAGAAATGGGTGAAAAGAAAAGGAGAGTCACCCTTTGAAAACTGCATAGGAAAGAAAGAAAAGCAAGAAGAGAAAGTTCAGGATGTTGCAAGATAAAATAGAGTAAAAGGTATCAAAGAAAACACAACCTCTCCCCCAGCCCCTCCCTCTCCTCCCAAACTGGAAGGAAACGTACTTTGCTACTCTGACGATAGAGGGCACTCTTGAACTAGGAATCTTACAAACCATTCCAAAACTGTCTGACCATAGAAACGCAGAGTGAACAGTGTCTACTGGAGGGGGTTCGTCAGGGTCTCTCTCTCTCTCTCTCTCTCTCTCTCTCTCTCTCTCTCTCTCTCTCTCTCTCATATATATATATATACTGAATATATATATATATACTGAATATATATATATACTGAATATATATATACTGAATATATATATACTGAATATATATATATACACTGAATGTGTGTATACATATATATATATACTGAATACATATATATATACTGAATTTATACAGAGAGACAGTCTATATATTTAAATACCTGAAATATAACATTCAAACCTGAAATAAATATATTCAAGTAAGTATTGGGAGATGTGAGAAGATAATTTGAGGTGTGTGTGTGTGTGTGTGTTTGAGACAGGGTCTCACTCTGCCACCCATGCTAGAATGCAGTGGCAGGATCACAGCTCACTGCAGCCTCGAACTCCCCGGGCTCAGGCGATCCTCCCACCTCAGCCTCTCGAGTAGCTGGGACCATAGGCGCCCGTCATCATGCTTGGCTATTTTTCTTCTTATTATTATTTGTAGAAACAGGGTCCCACTATGTTGCTCAGGTTGCTCTCAAACTCTTAGTCCCAAGCAATCCTCCTGCCTTGGCCTCCCATAGTGCTGGGGTTACAGGTGTGAGCCACCAAGCATGGACTGAGAAGACAATTTGCATCAGAACTTCAAAAAGCAAAAATAGAAATGGACAAAAAAAGGAAGAAATAAAATATAAATTGATTGATTCCTGGAAGAAAACAGAAAAAAAAAGACAAAGTCATATTAGAAATTACAACTAACTTATGCAGTACTTAAGGTAAAAAGAAATTTGAATGAAAACATTAAAAAGGCACTGAAGTAGACAGGAAAACAATGCATTGAAAATGTGGTAAGTAAATTAAAATGATGTAAGAAAAAATGTTTGAAATTGAAGACAAAGAAAAAATAACATCTGTATATTTAGAGTCCCTGAGGAAGCTAAGATAAAAAACAAAACGATTAAAATGATTATACAAGACCACTTTCCAGAAATAAAAGAAAATTTGTATCAACATATTTATAGGGTCTGTGGGGTGCCTGTAAAAATTGACCTGCAATGATAAACTCTATGATATATACAAGTAAAGATCATAGTCTGTAGAGATTTTTAGACCATCCTTAGGACCTTCAGCAGAAAGATAAAATATTTCACAAGGGAAAAAGAGTGATTGGCCTTAGACCAAAATACAAAACGAGGCAAAGAGGAGAAGCATTTTCAATCAATGCTGGGAAAGAAAGCCTGAAATAAAGCTGGCATTACATTTTTTTTTCCTTCAGTTTGTTATCAACAGAACTGTCCATCAAGTATCAAGGCTATTTACAAAAATGTTAGACAAAAGAACTCGAAGAATTCTGAAACCGTGAGCCCTCCTTGAAAAGTCTACTAGAACACAAACTGTATCCAACCAAAAGATGCCTGGGGAAACTGAGCAAAGGATTAATAAAGAGCAAAGTTTATTAATATACAAATTGATATTCACATTTGATCTTAGTTATTGCATTTGTAAGAGATTAAGGTGGGCAGGGAGTAAAAGAATAATATGCTATATGATATATAGTTTATCCATTTTATATTCTGACCAAGTAGAAATCATGCCACTGAAAAATGGAAAGAGAAAAGTAAAGAAGAATGGAAAGTAGACTAAATGATTTGGCTATTTTATAAGAAATAAATGTGAGTTAAAGGATGTCACAGATAAATGACAAACCAAATGGAAATATTTTGAACATGAAAATAGGGGATAAAGGGCATTTTAAAAAGTATAAGATATTCAATAAAGCAAAACCACAAAGCTTCCTAAATACTATAATAAATTAAAAATTTTAAAATTAAAGAAAATATATTGTATAGAGAAAAAACATAAACTATTTGTCTAAGTATTAATTATAAACTAAGATAATATGGCAGAGTTGAGGCCAAACACATTAATCTTTTCAATAAATGCTAATGGGTTTAACTCACCAATTTATTTTATTTATTTATTTTTTAATTTTTATTTTTAGTTTAATTCCGGTATACATGTGCAAGATGTGCATGTTTATTACATAGGTAAATGTGTGCTGTGGTGGTTTTTTGCACAGATCAACACATCACCTAGGTATTAAGCCCAGAATGCACTACCTATTTTTTCCTAATGTTCTCCCTCCCCACACCCCAACCCCTGTCAGGTTACAGTGTGTGTTGTTCCCCTCCCTGTGTCCGTATGTTCTCATTGTTCAGTTCCTGCTTATAAGTGAGAACATGCGGTGTTTGGTTTTCTGTTTCTGCATTAGTTTGCTGAGGATAATGGCTTCCAGCTCCATCCATGTCCCTGCAAAGGACATGATCTCATTCCTTTTTATGTCTGCATAGTATTCCATGGTATATACATACTACATTAAGTCTCGCTCTGTCGCCCAGGCCGGACTGCGGACTGCAGTGGCGCAATCTCGGCTCACTGCAAGCTCCGCTTCCCGGGTTCACGCCATTCTCCTGCCTCAGCCTCCCAAGTAGCTGGGACTTCAGGCGCCCGCCACCGCGCCCGGCTAATTTTCTGTATTTTTAGTAGAGACGGGGTTTCACCTTGTTAGCCAGGATGGTCTCGATCTCCTGACCTCATGATCCACCCGCCTTGGCCTCCCAAAGTGCTGGGATTACAGGCGTGAGCCACCGCGCCCAGCCTACATTTTCTTTATCCAGTCTATCATTGATGGGCATTTGGGTTGATTCCATGTCTTTGCTGTTGTGAATATTAACTCACCTATTTACAAAAGAAAAGATTTTGCCTGACATGGTAGCTCATGCCTATAATTCCAGCACTTTGGAAGGCCAAGGCAGGAGCATTGCTTGAGCTCAAGACTTTGAGACCAGCCTGGGCAACAAAGGGAGACCCCGTCTCAAAACAAAACAAAATGAAAGATCAAAAAAGTATCCAGGCATGGTGGTGCACACCTGTAGTCCCAGCTACTTGGGAGATAGATGGGGAAGGATTACTTGAGTCCAGGAGTTTGAGGCTGCAGTGAGTAGTGATCACAACACTATCCTTCAGCCTTGGTGACAGAGTGAGACTCTCTGTCTCAAAAAAGAAAAAAAAGAAGAAAGAAAGAAAGAAAGAAAAGAGAGAGAGAGAAAGAAAGAAGAGAGAAAGAGAGAAACTATAATCTGATTTACAAAGACTCAGCTATATGCTGTTTATAAAAGGCACACAAAAGAAACTGAATACTTGCATTGAAAAAGACTAAAGAGTAAGTGTTAAGATATATTAGAAAAAAAATTTAAAAAGCAATAAGAAAGCAGGGGTAATGACAGTGATAATAAAAGTAGAATACATACCTAATCACATTATACATTCAAAGAAAAGCATATTTAATGAAAATATGACAATTCATAATGAATAAGAATAAACATCTATGCACCACATAACATAGCAACCACCTATATAAATAAAAAACAAGAGACTCACAGAATCATAGATGTTAAAACTTTAGTAATAGGAGACTTAAATTGCTATCAGTATAAGACATTGAGTAAACAAAAATATATAAATAAAACAAGAATTTGGATGACCTATTCAACACAATCTATATATATATTGTTCTATATGCCCTGCTAATAAAGAATACACCTTTTTCTCAAGCACACAAACATTTAAGATAATTTAAATATAACAAAAAAAAAGTATTAAATCTCCCCACCCAAATCTCATCTCGAATTGTAGTTCTTATAATTTCCACATGTCCTGGGAGGGACCTTGTGGGAGGTAATTGAATCATGGGGGCAGGTTATTCCTGTGCTGTTCTCCTGATAGTGAATAAGTCTCATGGGATATGATGGTTTTATAAAGGGCAGTTCCCCTGCACACTCTCTTGCCTGCCACCATGTAAGACATGCCTTTTCTCCTCCTTCACCTTCTGCCATGATTGTGTGGCCTCCTAAGCCATGTGCAACTGTTAGTCTATTAAATCTCTTTTTCTTTATAAATTACCCTGTCTCAGGTATTTCTTCACAACAGTATGAAAGTGGACTAATACAATTACAAATGTCACTCTGATCATAATTTACCAAAACTAGAAATGTTTGAAAGTAAAAACCCTAGAAATCAATTACTGGCTTTCCTAGAGGTCCTATGAACTGTTTGACATTGTACCGACTACTCTTTACAGTCTCTACCTAGAATTTGATCTACTCTGGCTTAAATTCAGCCCCAAATTTTTGGTCAGGTACTCAGTTAAGAGAAAGCCCCAATTCTACTTGTTTTTCTTCACAAGTTTGCTGGTCATGATTCCACCTCTTTCAGTTGATTCCCTTATATTCCTAACATGCATAGCAAATAGCAGCCCAATCATTGTTTTTCCAATCCTACCCTGAGATCCAAACTCCTAATGCTAAAATGCATAATGAGTGAAATCACAGAATTTGTAATTTGTGAAACACCACGAAATTACACACCATTAGGAAGGAAAACTCTACAGCTCAGCTCACTCTATGGCGTTGGAGCAAAAAAAAAGAGAAGGCAGATTTTTCTGGAATCTAGGAGTTCACTCCAAAGTGTGCTTCCACTGATGACAAGAAATAGACATTACTACCCATGTTTGAATAGTTTAGATAGTCTCACCTTCCTTCCAACTAGAAACTTTTCCAGATAAATATGTAGCACATTAAATACCCAAATATCATGTGACATCAAATAACTGGAAAAGGCATTGATCTATCCATTCCATCATTTAGAAAAGTCTATTTAAACACCAGCTACATGTGAGGTGCTCTGCTAGGTTGTATCTCCAAAGATACATAAGACACATTCCTTGCCTTCCAGTAACTTATCCTCTACTGAGAGAGATAAATGCATGAGCAACAAATTTCAGTAAAGTATAATGAATATTATTACGGACATGTGGGCACACACAAAAAAAACTACATTTGAGATTGAGAAGGATCAAAGTTGGAGAAAACTTTGGGTGTGACTTGGGCAGATTAAAACATAGTTTACTCAAATATACACATGGTAAAAGGTATTCGTATCTGTTAGCTATTTCTGCAACAATGCTGCATGGTATACAGTCATAACATCCCAATGGCATACAAGAATAAGCATTGATTATTTCCCTTGTATGTAGTTAAGCTGAGCCAACTCTCATGATCTCTGCTGGACCCATCTAACCATTTTCAGGTTGTTTTGGGGTAGTCTGATCCTGGCTGAGCCTAGATGGTTGGCTCTGCTTCAAGCTACAGGGAAAGCTGGGCTTTCCTCATTACTGTTGCGCTATGTTTAAACCTAATCCATACGTTTACTCTGGAACCCATGCAGAAGGGCAGCAGCTGCACAAAGGAAGTGCTTCTCTTAACAGCAATAAAAAGGCAAAAGAATGAGCAGGGTACCATGGTATCTCTTAAGGTCCGAGCCCAGAAATGTCATAGTGCCAACTGCACCCATATTTTATTGTCCAGAGTCACTTGGACAATCCAATACCCATAGGATCATATGTTAAATTCATCCTATTCTGTTGGATGTTATTAAAAGTCCATGGCAAAAAGAGAGAAGGGAAGAAATGAAGAATTGGGAATAAATGATTCAACCTACAATTATATTTGCAGCCAAAGTAATAGCATGAGTGAGCCATAGTTATTAAAAATATATAATATATATCCTTTTCAATGTTTTACATAATATATAAAAATATATTAATTTTTATACAAAAATTGCATATGAAAGTAAAATTTCATATATATGAAGTTTTAGGGAACTGAGAATAGTTCCCTTAGGTTGGACCAGGACCAGGGGACACTGGCAAAAGATACAGATAGAATCTGAGCTCTTTTTTCCCAAAAATAAACATTTAATTTCCTTTTGATTTAATGTCTGTTTAATAGTCAAACTTTTTAAAAAGTTTATTGTCTGTCATCTCTTACCCACAATTACAAATAGGTCTTATTCATCAATTTAGTGTGCAAGAAGCAGAGAGTATATTGTAAGTTTGCAGGTGATGGTAAGTCCTTACCACATCCTAGTTAGCATTGAAATTATTATTATTGAAAAAATGCGCATATCGATTTGTACCACGTGAGATGCCATGGGGAAGACATGAACCTAAATTGGAAACAAAATGAAACAGAATATTTATACTTTAGAAAACTAACAATTTCCAGGATAGCAAACACTGCACGCTGTTTCATGAAATGAAAAATTCTGACATCTTTACCTTTCATCAGTCAGTTAAAAATGACACACGATGAATGTTAAAATGTTTAAAACCAATATAAATATCCTGTTTCATTCCTTTTCCTATTTGCACCAATATCTCTCCCTCTGTGTCTCTCAAAATGCCAATTCAAGTGTACCAACCCATGGAGAAAATTTTATTAACAGTACTGTGAACATGAAGGAAAAAAATAGTAACTATTTGAATCTGTGGTTTGAAGAATAAACATGATCTTGCAAGAGTTTCTTTTTAATTGTATCTACATCAAAATATTTGTTTTCAAAGCAAAGTAATACTAACAATAGAATCATGCACTGCTATAGTTCCAGAGGCTCTTGGTTCAGAAAAATAATTTAAAATCCTTATATTTGGAGGCCTTGAAATATGTTATATTTGGAGGCTGCTATCACGTTCCTTAGTCGTATGATTATATGACTTATATATAAAGTCTTCATTTCATTGAGCAGTGGTTTGTAGTTCTCCTTGAAGAGGTCCTTCATATCCCTTGTAAGTTGGATTCCTAGGTATTTTATTCTCTTTATAGCACTTGTGAATAGGAGTTCACTCGTGATTTGGCTCTCTGTTTGTCTGTTACTGGAGTATAGGAATGCTTGTGATTTTTGCACATTGATTTTGTATCCGGAGACTTTGCTGAAGTTGCTTATCAGCTTAAGGAGATTTTGGGCTGAGATGATGGGGTTTTCTAAATACACAATCATGTCATCTGCAAACAGAGACAATTTGACTTCCTCTTTTCCTAATTGATTACCCTTTATTTCTTTCTCTTGCCTGATTGCCTTGACCAGAACTTCCAATACTATGTTGAATAGGAGTGGTGAGAGAGGGCATCCCTGTCCTGTGCCAGTTTTCAAAAGGAATGCTTCCAGTTTTTGCCCATTTAGTATGATATTGGCTTGGGTTTGTCATAAATAGCTCTTATTATTTTGAGATACATTCCATCAATACCTAGTTTATTGAGTTTGTATCATGAAGGGCTGTTGAATTTTGTCGAAGGCCTTTTCTGCATCTATTGAGATAATCATGTGGTTTTTGTCATTGGTTCTTTTTATGTGATGGATTACGTTTATTGATTTGCATATGTTGAACCAGGCTTGCATCCCAGGGATGAAGCCGGCTTGATCGTGGTGGACAAGCTTTTTGATGCACTGCTGTATTCGGTTTGCCAGTATTTTATTGAAGTGATTCCTCAAGGATATAGAACTAGAAATACCATTTGACCTAGCAATCCCATTACTGGGTATATACCCAAAGGATTATAAATCATGCTACTATAAAGACACGTGCACACATATGCTTATTGCGGCGCTGTTCACAATAGCAAAGACTTGGAATCAACCCAAATGCCCAGCAATGATAGACTGGATAAAGAAAATGTGGCATATATACATTATGGAATACTAATCAGCCATAAAAAATGATGAGTTCATGTCTTTGCAGGGACATGAATGAAGCTGGAAGCCATCAATCTCAGCAAACTAACACAAGGACAGAAAGCCAAACACCGCATGTTCTCACTCATAAGTGGGAGTTGAACAATGAGAACACATGGACACAGGGAGAGGAACATCACACATCGGTGCCTGTCTGAGGATGGGGGGCGGGGGGAGGGATAGCATTAGGCTATATACCTAATGTAGATGACGGGTTGAGGGGTGCAGCAAACCACCATGGCACATGTATACCTATGTAACAAACCTGCACGTTCTGCACATGTACTCCAGAACTTAAAGTATGATAAAAATAAATACATTAATTAATTAATAATAAAGTCTTGAGAAAAATTAGCTAGGGGAGAGTCCATTGTAGTGATGAAGAGCTAGGCTTCTGGTGTCTTTCATTATCAAAGCCAGCAGCAGCAGGTCAACTTTTTCTCATGCCTTGAATTTCTCTTTCCTCCTTTTTCTTCATCTCTTCTGCCTTCCTCTTCTGTTTTTAAGGGTTTATATAATTACATTGGACCAACCTAGATTATCCAAAAGAATTTCTCTATTTTGAAGCCAGCTAATTAGTAATCTTATTTTCATCTACAAGAATAATCTTAATTCCATGTACTAAATTCCTTCATAGCAATAGCTAGATTAATGTATAAGAAGGTACTTTTTCAGGGCCAGGTGCTGTGGCTCCTAGAACTTTGGGAGACTGAGGGGAGAGGATCACTTGAGCCCAGGAGTTCAAGGCTGCAGTGAGCTATGATTGTGCCACTGCACTCCAGTCTGAGTGACAGTGAGATCCTGTCTCGAAAGAAAGAAAGAAAGAAAGAAAGAAAGAAAGAAAGAAAGAAAGAAAGAAAGAAAGAAAGAAAGAAAGAAAATGTATTTTTTAGAGAGAAGAAAAGGGTATTTAGATTCTGCCTATCACATTGCCTCATAGGGCTTTGGGGTTATTAAATGAGATAATACAGTCACGTGTTGCTTAACGATGGGAATACATTCTGAGAAATGTGTCGTTAGGTGATTTCATTGTTGTGCAAATATTATAGAATGTGTTTACACAAACAAATCTAGATGATAGCATAGCCTGCTAAGTACCCAGGCTTAGGGTATAGCTGATTGATCCTAGGCTACAAACCTGTACAAGATGTTACTGTACTGAATACAGTAGCAAATTGTATCACAATGGTATTTGTGTATCTAAACATATATGAACATAGAAAAGGTACAGTAAAAATTTTGTATTATAATCTTATGGGATCACTGTCTTATATGCTGTCTGTCATTAATAAAAACGTCATTATGTGGCACATGACTATACTGACAAAACACTTTGTATAGTGGCTGACACATCATAAAATCTCTAGTAAATGAGCTAATAATAACTGATTAATCAATAGAAAGTCTGATGTTTGGGAATATTTGCCTTGCCCTCCAAGGACTGGAAAACAATGATTCAATTTTTTTTTTTTTTGAGACAGAGTCTTGCTCTGTCGCCCAGGCTGGAGTGCAATGGTGCCATCTTGGCTCACTGCAACCTCCACCTCATGAGTTCAAGTGATTCTCCTCCCTCAGCCTCCCGAGTAGCTGGGATTACAGGCATGCTCCACCACACCTGGCTAATTTTGTATTTTTAGTGCAGACAGGGTTTCGCCATGTTGGTCAGGCTGGACTCGAACTCCTGACCTCCTGATCCACCTGCCTTGGCCTCCCAAAGTTCTGGAATTACAGGCATGAGCCACCACGCCAGGCCACAGTGACTCAATTTTTGAGGGCATATGTACAGACCAAAATCATTGGGATGATTAGAGTTGTCAATCCATGTCAAATATTGAGTAAAGCTCTTATTTTAGACATCTAAACTCAGATATGTCATTTTGAAGTTCTTAAAAAAAAAAAAAGTTCTTCAATACATAAGGAAGGCTGCAGACTTAGGCTTTTTCACTTATTTGCCATATGACCCCAGGTGATTCACTGAACTCATCTTAGCCCTAGGAGTTTTCAACTATGAAACAAGGATAGCAATACTTACCATCACTTAAACAAACAAAAAAATTAGGCAAGAGAAATTAATAAGGGACATCCAAATTTGAAACAAAAACATCAAATTAGCTTTGTTCATAGATATAATCTTATTCTTAGAGAAACCTAACAGCTCTACCAAAAAACTGTTAGAATTGATAAACAAGTTCAGTAAAGTTGCAAGACACATAATCAACATACAAAAATCAGTAGTATGCATAAGCCCTAACAACAAACAATCTGAAAAAGAAGTCAAGAAAGCAATCCCATTTACAATAGCTACAAAAAATATAAAATGCCTGGGAATCAATCTAACCAAAGAGGTGAAAGCTCTATACATGGAAGACTATAAAACTCTGATGAAACAAGTAGGACACACACAAAAAAACAGAATGATATTTCATGTTCATGGATTGAAAGAATCAGTACTGTTAATATGACAATACTACCCAAAGCAATTTATAGATTTAATGCAATCCCTAGTAAAATACCAATGATATTCTTCACAAATTTTTTTTGAAATCTTAAAATCGAAATGGAACTACAAAAGACCCTGAAGAGAAAAAGCCATACTGAGCAAAAAGAACCAAGCTGGAAGCATCACACTGCTACCTAATTTCAAAAGTTATTACAGAGCTGTAGTAATCAAAACGGCATGGTACTGGCATAAAAAAAAAAAAAAACAAACAGACACATGGACCAATGAAACAGAATAGAGAACCCAGATATAAACCTGTGCATTTACCAGTGACTCATCTCCAACAAGAACTTGCACCAATAACTTACAATGAAAAAAAAGTAGTTTTTCAATAAATGGTGCTAGGAAAACTGGATAACTATATGCAAAAGAATAAAAATAGACCTCTACCTCTCACCATACACAAACATCAAATGAAAGTAAAGACTTGAATCCAAGACCGAAAGCTGTGAAGTTACTAGAAGAAAAATTTGAGAAATGCTCTGTGACATTAATCTAAGCCAAGATATTTTGTGTAAGACCTCAAAAGCATGGGCAACCAAAGCAAAAATAGGCAATAGGGATTATGTCAAGCTAAAAGGATTCTGAATAGCAAAAAAACAATCAACAAAATGTAGAGACAACACACAGAATGAGAGAAAATATTTGCAAACTATCCCTCTGACAATGAATTAATGACCAGAATATATAAGAAGCTCAAACAACTCAATAACAAAAAGCAAATAATTCTATTTAGAAATGGGCAAAAGATCTGAGCAGACATTTCCCAAAATAAGACATACAAATGGCCTACATTTATATGAAAATACATTCAATATCTCTAATCATCAGAGAATGCAAATCAATACCACAATGCAATATTATCTCACCCCGGTTGAAACAGCTTGCATAAAAAGACAAGCAATAACAGGTGCTGGCAAGAATTAGAGAATGGGGAACCCTCGTACGCTGTTGGTGGAAATGTAAATCAGTACAGCCACTATAGAGAACAGTTTGGAGGTTCCTCAAAAATCTAAAAATGGAACTTCTGTGTGATCCAGTAATTCCATTACTGGGCATACATCCAAAAAAAAAAAAAGGAAATCAATATAAAAAAGAGATATTTGCACTCCCATGTTTATTGCAACACTATTCACAGTAGTCAAAATATGGAATCAACATCAGTGCCCATCAATAGATTAATGCATAAAGAAAATGTGGTACATATACTTCATGGAATATTAGTCAGTAATAAAAAGAATGAAATCCTGTCATTTGTAGCAACATGGATGGAACTAGAAGTCATTATGTTAAATGAAATAAGCCAAGCACAGAAAGAAAAATATTTCATATTTTCACCCATATGAAGAAGTTAAAAGGTGGATCTCATGAAGATAGAAAGTAGATTTGTGGTTACTACAGGCTGGGAAAGAGAGAGGGTAGGAGGTGTGATGAAGGGTGAAAATATATATGTAAAAATATTTAAACTGTACACTTAAAAATGGAAAAGATTATAAATTTATATATACATAATTTTATATGTACATAATTATATATAGTTATACATAAATATAATATATATTTTAAACTCAATATGTTATTTTAAAAGGATAAGGAAAGTACTATGATGTCTTCTAAATAATAAGTGCCCAGTAAATATAGGTTTCTGCCTCCTTCTCATTTCAAACACAGATTTTGGAATCAAGCCAAAGAAAGTGTTACTTTTTGCTCAGTTTTTATAACGGGCCTTCATTTTCCTAGTCTGTAAAATGGTGATAGTTAGTCTTACCTCAAAGGAATATTGGTAAATTAGAGGCCGGGTACGGGGCTCATGCCTGTAATGCCAGCACTTTGGGAGGCCGAGGCCAGTGGATCACCTGACGGCAGGAGTTCGAGACCGGCCTGGATTATGGTGAAACACCGTCTCTACTAAAAATACAAAAATCAGCAGGTATGGTGGTGGACGCCTGTAACTCCAGATACTCTGGAGGCTGAGGCAGGAGAATTGCTTGAACCCGGGAGGCAGATGTTGCAGTGAGCCGAGATCTCGCCACTGCACTCCAGCCTGGGTGACAAGAGCTAAACTCTGTTTCAAAATAAACAAACAAACAAAAAATCAGAAAGTCCGTGACTAGATGCTTACTGACTTGACCTTTCGAAAGCACGCAAAATGTTAAAGCATATCCAAATCTTTTGATTGACACATTTTCATCTTTCAGGCCATCTGTTAAGTAATATTTGTGTTCTAATTACTGTAACAAGAATGATTAAAATACAATCATGTTTGGAAAAAGTGCAGCTAGCTAAATACAGTCCCAATATCTGAGGCATTACTGCAAGGAATTCACCTCCTGTGGTTTTGTGAGAATGTGATCACCCTTAAGTATTTCAGTGTGACATCTGAAAGGCTGTGGTTTACCCTACTATTTATTAATATGTGTTGTCTATATTTTAAAATGAATATTCTATATCTGTGTTCTCTATGATCACTAATAGTGTGGTAGCCAAGGTCATGGAAGATTAGCTGAGATTTAATGTAATTTGATATTTGACAATGATAATGAGTGCACTGTATTAGAATTTGCTTGTTAAACAGGCATAGTTTTTCATCTAGAAATGTAATTCATGAAATAATTACAATGCTGAACCCTAAAACTAGCACAATGAAAGTAAAAAAAAACTGGTAAACTTGTTAGGTCTGTGGAAATATTTTACAATTTGGGAGACATGTTGACTACGGTACTTCAATGAACCTAACCATCAGTGTCAGTGTCTGTGGTTTGTGTGTGTGTATAACTATGTGTAATTCACACACACACACATATATATATATAAAATTAGTAAAGGTATATAAGTTATCCATATAGAGAGAACCATATATACATAAAAGCATTAAATTAGTAATTATATATATAAAATGATATAGTAAACCTAAGTTGTATGTATGTAGGAAATATATAAAATATGAAAATATATACAATTAGTTATGGTATAAATAACATTTATTATATGTGAGTATGCCTAATAAAGGATTTTTATTATGATTATCAAATATCATAGATCAATATGATAAATATTGGTAATTGATATAAGATAATGACTTGTTCACGAGTTATTTCTTTTATAAAACCGCAAGTTCCTTGAGGAAAGAAACTATAGGGAAATTCTCTATGTGTATATCTATATATTTTTTCTTATTTTATTTTAGGCGAATGATATCAAACATCTATAAATGTTTAATATGTATAGATGTTCAACAAAATAAACTGTGTTCAGATAGACAATAAACCATCCTGTGGAGAGAGAAGACAAAAGAAAACATGAAAACACATATAGGTTCCTAATATATGCTACAGAGTATAGTAGGTGCTTTCAGATGAAATTACATGAATCTCCTCATTTAATATTCCTGCCCAAACTCTGCTGTAAATACCATTTATTTATACCAATAATTGTAATTACCAATTATTAATAAAATCATTTATATTGTTATATTAATAATTTTCATACTAAGCTTATTGGATCAAAGAAAATGAACATTTTTAGTAACTTCCATATATAAAACACCAAAGAAGTGCTTCTAATGTGAATTACGTTACCAAGTGTTCTTCATTTCAAAGTTTTATTTCCTGCGAAATCCCTGTTAGGTAATATTGATTTACTTCTAGATAGCATGAGGTCTTTTACAAAGCATTTGATTTGAAGAAAAAAAGTTAGTTACTCTAGTCATTCTCCTTTTATCAGGAGATGTTGTCAAGGTAACAACATCTTTTATTGTACTTGGAGGTACCTGTGTGTAATGGTTAGGATAGTATACTTTACCTGAATTAGCAGGCAATAAACTATCTTCGGCCTGGGCCTTCCAACCAACGGTGTCCCCTGTTTAATCTAACAACCTGCTGTGTAGAAACTGTTTCTAGAGGTAATTCCACTTAAATGGGCATCCAAGAAATGTCTTTTTGAAGTACAACACTGTTGTTATTCCCTAAAATGCCACTTTCTAAAATTTCTTTTCACAAGGGATGTTAATGTTGTCAATAAATGAGAATGTCATAAGCAAAAGAAAACTATTCTAAAGAAATTTATTCAGACATTTGAAAAGCATTGTGCCCTAGGTGCTGAGACAAGAGGTACAGAAATGAGGAAATAAATAAAATGTGGTTCCTTCACTAAAGGAACTTGTAGTCTTATGAAAAAAATAGCAGTAAACAAGTCATTATGTTACAATATACTACTTACCAACATCGATCCCAGTAATCTATCCAGTTTAGTGATCATTACTAAAAACAGCAACCAGATGCTACGGCTCGCATCTGTAATCCCAAAACTTTGGGAGACCAAGGCAGTAGTATCACTTAAGGTCAGGAGTTGACTAGCCTGGGCAACATAGCAAGACTCCATCTCTACAAAAAAATAAATAAATAAATAAAAATTAGCTGAGCATAGTGGTATACACCTATAGTCCCAGCTACTTGAGGGCTGAGGTGGCAGGATCACTTGAGCCCAGGAGGTTGAAGATGCAGTGAGCCATGATCCTGCTGCTTCAGTCCAGCCTGGTCAACACGGTGAGACCTCATCTCTAGCCGAAAAAAAAGAGAGCCATCTCTATTAAGCACATCATCTGTGCCACATGCTGAACTTAATATTTACAAACATAATCTCATCTGATGCTCACAACAACTTAATGTGGTAGATGTACTATGATCATCCCATTTTCCTGAGTGCTAACTAAGGTTAGACTGACATGATGTGGATAGAAGGTGGCCCAGTCAGGAGCTGAGCCTATCTGTCTACGGAGTCAGAATGTGTCGTCACTGTGCTGTGTAGCTCAAAAGAGGGTGAGTTTCTTTCTTTTTGGGGGAGGGGGTAAGGAAGGAGTGGTGTCAGAGGATGACATTCAAGAATTCACAAAAGAGACAAGGCACAGTGGCTTATGCCTGTAATCCCAATGCTTTGAGAGGCCAAGGCAGGAGGATTGCTTGAGGCCAGGAGATCAAGACAAGCCTGGGTAACATAGTGACATAGTGACACCCTATCTCTGTCATATCTTTTGCAGGGATATGGATAGAGCTGGAGGTTGTTATCCTCAGCAAACTAATGCAGGAACAGAAAAGCAAACACTGCATGTTCTCACTTATAAGTGGGAGCTGAACAATGAAAACACGTGGACATATCAGGGGGAATAACACATACTGGGCCTGTTGGGAAGTGTAGGGGGAGGGAGAGCATCTGGGAGAGTAGCTAATGGATGTTAGGCTTGATACATAGGTGATGTGTTGATCTGTGCAACAAACCACCATGACACACGTTTACCTTTGTAACAAAACTGCACATCCTGCACATGTACCCCAGAACTTAAAATGAAAGTTGAAGAATAAAATAAAAATACGGCCTGGCATGGTGGCTCACTCCTGTAATCCCAGCACTTTGGGAGACCGAGGTGGGCAGATCACCTGAGGTCGGGAGTTCAAGACCAGCCTGACCAATATGCAGAAATCCCATCTCTGCTAAAAATAGAAAATTAGTCAGGCGTAGTGGTGCATGCCTGTAATCCCAGCTACTCGGGAGGCTGAGGCAGGAGAATTGCTTGAACCCAGGAAGTGGAGGTTGCAGTGAGCCAAGATCACACCCATGGCACTCCAGCCTGGGCAATAAGAGCAGACTCCATCTCAAAAATAAATAAATAAATAAATAAAATAAAAATTAAAAAATGATTGTATGTTTTTCAGTTCAACTGATGAACATGGGGAATTTCAGGAGGAGGATAAAGCACATGCAAAGATGGAAAAGCCTGGGAAATCATGGCAGAAAGAAGATATACAATCCAGTATGGCTGGGAAGAGACTGAAAAAGGAGCAAATGACCTTATATGATTCTGGAAAGGTAGTCAGGCATCACAGCTAAGGATTTTAGATTATAAATCATCTTGGAGTACCATGGAAGAGATTCAAGCCAAAGAGTTGCATGGCTGATTTGGAATCCAGAAAGATTGATCTTCAGAATGATGGAGGGATCAGAGGGAAAATGACCATCTTCCCAAAAAGAAAAATGAAAATGTCCAGGAGAAAATGATGAACTAAGGTAGAGGCAATAGAATGGAAAGATCAGGCAAGATTAAGGAATAACTGGTCAAATGTGGGCCAATGAAAAAGAGAAGGGTTGATGAAACTTTACACTTCTAATTTAGGTGATTAGGTGAGAGAGGGGCTTGAGTGTTGGTGCAAGGTAGTGGGAGGGTGGAATTAGAATGATGAGTACACTTTACTTATGTCTGACCCTTAGTTATATCAAAATATGGAGTTATCTCACTAGAATAAAAAATGAAGTCTTTTAATCCATTTTATTTTCAAATGAACAGTGAGTTGATGCCTCACTGTTCTTTTGAAAGCATTATAGTTTAGCAAACCCACACATTTTTGAACTATAACCCATAAGGTACAGTTTATCCACATCCTGCCTTCTATTCAGTAGTTTGAGGGGACCCAAATAAATCTATAAAATTGCCAAAACAATAAATATCCCGGGAGCACATTGTTCCTTCTCTTAGCACCTTGACCTTATTGGTGAATGACTTGCCTTCCTCACCACGGCTTCTGTATGAGTGCGCTTTCACACTCCTATAAAGAACTGCCTGAGATTGGGTAATTTACACTGGAAAGAGGTTTAATTGACTCACAGTTCCACATGATTGGGAAGGCCTCAGGAAACTTACGATTATGGCCTAAGGCAAAAGAGAAGCAAGTACCTTCTTCGCAAGGTGGCAGGAGAAAGAGAGTGAAGGGTGAACTGCCAAACACTTCTAAACCATAAAATCTTGTGAGAACTCACTCGCCATCACAAGAATAGCATGGGGGAAACTGCCCCCGTGATCTGGTCATCTCCCACCAGGTCCCTCCCTTGACACGTGGGGATTACAATTCAAGATGAGATTTGGGTGAGGACGCAAGAGACAAACCATATAAGCCTGCTTTATTGAGGAATCTCTGTTTTCATCCCTGATATCCTGTTAGCTACTGCCGTTTTGTTCCTGGCTCTATTTGTGTTAATTTGCCTGATGGTCATCTCCCTGCCACCAAAATCTTGTACAACAACTTTCTGAGTTTATTAAGCATAGTCTTCATAGTGGCAGATACTATATTTATTGAGTGTCATATTAGCTATTTAAAATACATTTTACTTGTTCTTTACTCAGAGAAACCTCGTGGAGAAGATTGTAAGTAGAAAATACAGACTTTATTTGAGATTGAAGAAAAAATCAAATATATGAGCTATTGAGAATCCATTCTAAGCCAGGTACTGTGCTTCCAAGACATCAATTATTCTTCCAGCTAACAATATGAGGTTGATATTACCATCCACAGTTTTTGAAGCAGGTTATCATGTATAAGAAGGTTAAATATCTGCTCAACATGCCACAACTAACTGCTATTTAATTCAGTTTTGCAAGGAGAAAAAATATCGCTGCATCCAGTTGCTTCCCATTGGGAAGATGCTGAAGAATCACTAAAAGTTTTTGCTGTCAGCTTTCAGTTATTCCACAACCTCCGAGAAGTGTTAGATCTCACCAGAAAAAGGAATTGCTAAAATGAAGTAGTCACTTTAGGACAAATATTTGTTGTTCCAAGTTGTTTTTACTAATATACTCTAAAGGGATCATTTTCTCTTGGTGGGGGAAATATGATGGATGTATTCACATTGTCCATTGTCCTGGCTCCTTGGTGAAAGCCTCAATATTTGCAGATGATATTTAAAGATGACTTATAAGTGCTTCCAATATCTCCCTTTGCCATGTCAAGGAAGAATGATCCTCCCATCATATATTAACTACCTTTTATTTTGTGATGGTATAGAATTCAGATATTGATGTATACACGTGGGCAAGTTGAAATAAACATAGCCTCTAAAGTAATCCACATAAAACGTCTTGAGCCAAACAGGGAAGGAAGAGAGTCAAGAACTCTGTGAGTTGGGTTTAGTAACATTTTAGATGTCTAGAGTAAGGAAAAAGAAACATTTCAGTGTGGGAAGTATTGTGGGAAGAGGGGAAAAATCTGAATAACGTTTTAGAATCAGAGATTACCCTATATTGTTTAATTTTCCTTTAAACATTTTAATGATAGACAAATATTTCTTTTATTGGCACCTTGTAGAAAGGTGTCCACATAGTTGGTGGATTGTATTAACTAGATTCACATGATAGAATAAAGAAGTAAAAAAAATCCACCTTAGATCTATCAGCAAAAGCTTGAATTTTAATTTAAATTCTACCGTGTTTTCTTTATGTGATGATAGAAAAGATATGTGAACCTCAGGGCCTTAATTTTAACATAAAAAAGAAAAGGTAGAAGATGAAGAATACTATCTTTTTTCTATATCCCAAAGACTAGCAACGTAAAAAAATCTGGCAAGGAGAAGCCATGATGATGATGATTAATTCAGCAAAGGAATGCAGAAAGTTGCCCTCTTTGTAAACAATACTTGTCTAAAAATTCACCCAAAATTCAAAAATGCAAATTGTACATATTAGACTTACAAATTATTATGGTAATTCTATTTCCAGAGAGCTAAAACATAATATACTATAGCTGATTTTACTTTTTATTTTAAACACAATTTCCAGTAACAGGATACTAACTTTTAAATTTTTCATTCCTTTAATTTTGTTCCTTTGCTTCACAATCAAACATGTTGATGGCTGGCACAGGTTCAGCAAGTGTCCAACTAACCCTCAACATGCGCTGCTTTTGATATGCATTTTAAGGATTTCTATCATGTTTTTAATGCCATTGCACTTTTATAACAATCTCCTTATCACTGTTATAGGTACTTCTCCCTGTTGTACACTGTTTTTATAAAGCCATGCAGGAAAGAGCAATAAAAAATTCAAGTCATTGCACAAATTGGCAATGCTTTTGTAGACACTGCCAGCAGGTAGAGACAGTATGTGAGAAAATGAAATGTGAGCTAATCGGCTGATGAGCAAAAGCCACAGTCTGGCATAAGAAGGGGAGTTCAGGGTGCCAACACATAATACATAAAAACGCAAATGTTTCAAAAGTGAAATTGATAAAAATTAAAGATGAGACTCTACGTGTGTACACAGAGAAAACAAAGCATCAGAAGAGATGAGAACTAGTCATGGCAAGCTTACTAGGAGCAGAGGCAAGTCGGCTTAAGCAAACTTTCCAGAACAAAGAGGCAACACCAAAGAATTGCAGGGGTTTAGGAGCATAGAGTTAGGAGTGATTTCAGTGTGAGGGAAATTATTCAGAGGGAGATGCTGCAAAGGTTTTGATGTACATTTCAAGAAGTGTTGATATGCAGCTGGCTAAAATTTCATTTGAAAGAAATAAGGGTATATATGGGAACAGGAGAAATTGAGGTGTGGCTTATAGAAGATCAAGACAGAAAGATAGCTTGGGGCCAGACAAGAAGAATTTCTGTGCCCCTTGGGACAGTCTTGCTTCCTTTTTCATTCAATTCTTTATAATCCATAAGTTTCTTATAAATGGAAACTTGGAATTACTTTTCAATACATGAATACTCTGGTATCTCCGGAATCAAAAAGCAATATGAGTTGATTCTATGGTAAAACCAATAAAAAATACCCTTTATTCAAGCAGATTTTGGGTAGTACACTCATATAGTTACAGAATACCTACAGGCTCTCACCTTCAAATGTCAAACTCTCACTCTCCCCCCAACCAACCCCTATCAATTCTGGCTAAAGTTTTGATAATTGGTTCAATTACCATCACAGAAGCACTACTTTTCTCTTTCCAGAAGTAATGCTGGGATAGTGAAATTTCAAGTCTCATGTTGCCTGTAAGAAAATGAGTGATACAGCCTGTTCCAACCAATGTTTTTTAAAAAAATCATGAAAGTATCAGTGTCTTATTGTTACAGAGGGAATTTAAAAAAAAAAAAGAGGTGCAAAAATGAAAATTCTTCTTTCCACACTCAATTTTGAAACAACTGCATATTGACACAGTGGGAAATGTAATAAAATATTATATAAACTGTTTTGAGCCTTATGTGATTAAATTTTCAAGAGACTGTCAACTGGCCACATTTAGATTATTGTCTATGAACTCCTTATTGTATTTTTTCCAGATTAGAAGTTTGTTTTCTCTTTGTTTGAATTTTCTTTTTAATTTTTGAGTGGTATACCTGAAAGAAAAAGCACTGGGAAGAAAATTAATAAAACTCAGTTGTAGTTTTGAAGTATTTAATTCTGGGATTTTAGGCAAAACATTCAATCTCTTTGGGCATCAGTTTCCTAATCTGTAACAACAACAACAACAGCAACAAAAACTGGAACACAATAGTTGTAATTTTAGGGTAGGATGTAACCTTATCTGCATTTATTTAGTTAAATATTGAAATAAAAATGTATTTGTTCCTCTACTAGTTATATCCACATGTCATGAAATTCTCACAGATAGAGCTACCCAATGAACTGTGGAATTTCAGTCTCCTCAAGACAAAAATCTTAGACATAATGGTGCTCTCTTCTGTTTTTCCTACCTCAACCCAAAAGCTTAGGGCCTCTGTCCAATCATCTTGAGTCAACATTGCTTATGTGCATCCATTAACTGAACTCATTTCCATCTGCACTGTTTCTCTTTGATTCCTTTTAATTCATGAGCAGCTACCCTCCCTTCTCCCAGGAAAGGGCCTCTTCAGTAAGCCCTCTTATAGTTTGAAAAAGGTGAATATACAAAATTGAATCAAACTTTATCAGGTAAACACTTGGTGGAGGGAAATAGGCATTTATTAAGAATAGTTATTAGCAAGTGAGGAGACTGGAGAGTGGAAGGCATATGACCATCCCCAGAAGTCCAGAGACTTTAGAAGTTATTTTGTCTGTTTAACTAAGAATTGCTGAGTAGTAAGCACACAAGCAAATTATCTAGCTACTTAAGATCTGAAATAGTGTGGCAGCAATGACATCATCCATTGTTCATGCCTTGCTAAGAACTTGCTTTCACTAATAAGCTGACTAATATTTGATCTGAATAGCTCAATCTTTCCCATTTGGAATGATTACTAAAGAAACTTTTGTAGAATATTTTGAAATGTCAAGATCGACTCAATGAACATCAGTTCCCAGAAAACTGATACAACTCTATAGCTCCCTAAAATATTGTAATAGGCTGTAAACTTTGGAAGTGAAGGCCAAGGTTTCTAAAACATATGAAGTATCATAAGAAACAATGATCTCGTTTGCTATTCTGAAAATTAACACATGTATGAGACTCTAGCTACTTCTTTTCATATAATCTATACCTCATAAACTGAGACAGCTTGTAAACAGTTTTTTTGGAGGGACACTGGTCTCACTCATTCTGCTTTGAAATGGTCAGCAAAATACATCATCTACTATAGGGGTGGTCCTAAGATGCCCTATTGACCACCTAATACTCTTCACACTACCTCTATGAGCATTAGTCATAGCTCATGGGACCAAGAAGACTAACGCATAGACAAGGCTAGGAAAAAACATGTATTCACTTAATAAGATTTTTTCTGACAAAGTGAGAGTTATTCCAGGAATAGAAAGATGGTCCTTGGGAAACATGTCAATATATTTAATATTTCACTATTTTTAGTTAAAACTGCACAATATTGATGGAAGAAATCAAAGAAGAACTGAACAAGTAAAGAGACATGCTATGTTCATCAATTGGAAGAAATAACATAGTAAAGCTGTCAATTCCTTCAATATTGATATACAGATTTAACAAAATTTATATCAAAATCCTAGCAACTTTTGTTGTGGGTATGAACAAGATTATTGTAAAATTTATATGGAAAGGCAGAGAATCTAGAACATATCAAACAATTGTGAAAAATAAAAATACAGTAGAGGAAATAAGTCTACTCAGTTTAAAAAATTATTATATACATGCATTAGTCAAGACTGGGGAATTGGTAGAGGGATAACCACATAGATCAATGGAGTAGAACAGAAGATCCAGAAGTCAATGTACACTCTCTCAATAATTTGAATTAAAAGAAAAACGCTCCTGAATCAATTAGATGATAGTGTTACCAGAGAAAGAAAAGTCAGAATGGAGCAACTGTGTCATTCACATTCAGGAAAAAAAGCCAGAGTCCCTGAAAGCTAAAAGGACAGATCAGAGACTATAAGAGGCTAGGGAGAGAGAGAGAACATGACTGATTTTTCACATCTATGAGTTCCAGCTGGGAAGGAACCCCCTATTCTTTCCAATTAACCCATTTTATCCTTGAGCTAATTGGAAAAAGTGTTATTGCTGTTGCTGTCATCCAGGCAACCAGCAGTCATTTACAAAGACTGATATGCAACTTAGGAACTATTTAGCAAACCCAATAGTTCAGATATAATCACAAACAGAACTTTATTGAGAACTTGAGGTTTCTACAAACAGCCTTTATGTTTTTGTGCAGAGAATGACAGAACAGCAATCTCTCAGGCAAGATCAAGAGGCAAACGTACATGACTTCCTGATTTAGGATAAAATTTAGAACCCTGAGATGGCATAGATGAGGCAATAAAAACCAGTGCTTTATGGACATGAGCAACACTAGGACATGTATGTGCATAAGACTCTCACTGATTAGGACCGTGCACAAGCTCCAAGACTAAATCACCTTGGGCAAGTCACTTAACCTCTCTAACCTTTCATCAGTTCAATGCAGATAATAACAGTAGCTACAGGATTGCTCTAATGATTACCAGTAAAGCATAGCACTCTAAGTGAAAGAACTTGAGTGTTTTAATTTTTGTTATCTGTCGTGTGTTTTAGAAAAGGTCTATATATGGAGACATTAAAGCGGCATTTGTTAAAATTTCACAAATGTATGTACAAATGTATGAGATTTTGCTGTGTCACTTGTGACAGAGCAGGAGCACCATCATCTTGGACAAACACCGCCACTTTTTCAGCTCCCTTTTTAGCCTTAGATATTATAAGGAAATTACTTCTCTTTTAACTTTAAGCAGCCAAAGAGAGCAGACAGTAAAATACAAATAAGACAGCTCAGGCACAGAGGGAGGTGGAGGGAAAGTCTCTTGGGTAACAGCCAAACTTCACCCTCATACAATGGGCCCCAGTAAAACAGTGGGCCTTAATAAGCACATTCCTTTCCCTTCAGGTGCACTGAGATAGGGAAGCTAAAAGCAGACTCAAGGGGTATGCCTGCAGTTGCAGAAAGATGTATGGCAATAGACACACAACTCTCCCTCCCAGATAAGCACAACAAAGAGGCACAGAAGCAAGCCAAGCCTCCGATAAACTCTCCCACCCTGAATCCTTAAAAACTCTTAGTCTGTAAGAGAGTGTACCTCTAACCTAACTTGGCCAGAAGCTCCTCTCAGGTTTGTTCTCTCTAAAATAAATCCGTCTTGACTGGTGAGCCACCCTTCATGTTTCTTTCCTCTTTCTTTAATTCTTACAACTTAAGACACATGAAGTCACAAACACTTAGAAAGAAAAGCCCAAGCTCAAAATTTCACTTATTCATGTTTGAACTGTTGTTATTTCTTCAATGCTAACTTTTCTGAATTGCAAGTTATTCATTTGTAAAAGAAAAGTCATCATTGCCCTCAGAGATGAGTCACCGGGATGAACACATAAAATGTACATTAAATGATTCATAAAGTTTGGAATACTATATAAACATGTATGATTATTATTTATAATTTTGTACTCCCTATGGTCATGGTGATGAGTTTGAAAGAAGTTCCATTTGACAAACTTTTATCTCTTTCTTTCACATTTGTTTGCAAAATATAAGTTCTCAGCAATTGTTTGGTTTATGATGGATAATCTGTATTAATAGAGTTAGAACATAATTTAGTTATATTTATTAAATAACTATTTGCTAATTGATCTAAGAAAACATTGAATTTCAGAGTTTAAGGTAAAGAAAATCAAAATGAACTTGCTCACTTTAAAGTATATAATTGTTTTAGAGATATGATAAAATTGGTAGATATTCTATTAAGTGTTAGCCAGATAAATGCCACTGATTGTGAGTTAATTAAATTGAGTATAACCATTTAACTCACCTTCCATGAATCCCAAGAATGTGTTGCAATTGAAATCAAGGTTTCCATTTGCTACAGTTCACTGCTGTGAGCTTTCTTGAACTCTCTGCCAAAGAAAATGGAGGTTACACATTTAAGGACCTTATCTTTTATTCCTTAAAGCTCATCAATGTGTAAACCCCTGGGGAGTTAACTTTCTCAGTTTGCACACCAGGCCTTCACTCATGTGAAGATCACAGTTCAGTGAGTTATGTTAAAGAAAACTGCCATCCTTCTCCACCCTGTCTGCCTAAAAAGAAGATAATCTGAAAAATGCTTAGGATACAAATGAAAAGGGAAAATAAAGCAAAAACAAAAAGCAGAGCAGAAAGCTCTCTGGATAGAAGGATGGATGGATAGATAGATAGATGATAGATAGATAGATGGATAAGATTGATATCTCAGGGTGTTAGGAAAATTAACAACAATAAAATCTTTTAGGAATATTTTATTGTGCAGACAAAATTCCATCACTGGAAAATATTCTGGAATAAAATTGACTTGAGAAAAGAAAACTTCAAAAATATTTTACATAAAATTCTAAATTGCAATAACTTTTTAGCCTCTTTCGACTGACTGAAGTCACTTCCTAATCATTTATGATCATCAATCATCCAAGTCCACATCTTGGATCATGGGTCAGCTCCTCTGGCAACCCCTCACCACCCTGCCCCATATTCTGATGCTCTTCGCATCTGTTGCCATTGCTAATCTAGTTGGCTTTTGCAGTGCTCATAGTCTGTGGAGAGTCTGGTATCTTGAGATATTAACTAATTCACATGAGATGTTAAGAAGTGTATAGATGCTTAATAAAATTTGTGGAATAAATGAATGACTGAGTACTGGAATTAATGGATGATAGATAAACGAATGGACAAATAAATGAATGGATGTATAGATGAACAAGCAGATGATTGCAGGTGTTTTGGTCAAATTAAACTACTTAACTTTCATAAAAGTAAAAACAATGTATTAGAAATAAATACACAGCATGCTAACTTTATTAATTGCTTCCTCATTATCTACTTTATTGTTCTTCAAATTGCTATAGCAGGTGGATCTTGTTTCTCCTTAAAATGTATCAAAGAAGGAATTTGGGGGAAAACACTTTTATAAAAAAATGCAAGAAATATTGAACAGCCTACAAAGTCTCTACAAGAAGAGAAGAGATCAATTGATACTATCATCAGTGCACTTCAACGTAGCTTCTAAAAATGAGACACTGATGAAAAGGCATTTAAAAGCTGTTCCCTTTACACCATTCTAAAGTTGATGTGGTTTCATTTTTTTCTCCTCTGAGCTTTCAAAATACTCATGCTGAGATACCGAGATTGTATTCAGTTTGTGAAATTAGTGACATAAAGCTTCTCCAGCCACCCCTATTATATTGCACAAAGACACCAAAGCACAATTGAAATCCTATTATATATATTGCATTAAATTGGTTCCCAGCAGGGCACCTTAATTAAGATGTGCTTATTACCTGGGTCCAGATTAAGTGGCATGGACTGTATCACAGTCTTTATAATCAGACAGAAAGCAGGGTTAGCCCAGGCCCTGATTTGTTAATGAAGGCTAATGGCCCATCGCCTTCATGGTACAATAGTGGTGGGGACTTTTTAATACCATACCAGACACTGTTTTAATTTAATGCTAAGAATGCATGTAACCCTGTTGCCCCTTCTTAAGCAAATACTTGTAGGTTTTTAAACATTACTTTCCTAATGAGAGCTTTGCATCAGACATTCACTTGATGCTATGTGGCAATAATATGGTTATTCTATTGAACCTAGGGGCAATTGGAATTTTTTTCCAGTTTGACTTCTCTCATTTCTATTGTATCCCATCTCAAACTCCCATGTTACCACATCTCACCCTGCCCCATATATACCTTCTTCTGGCAAGTATTCACCTCCCCTCCCAACCTGTACAAAATCCCAGAGTACCAAATCTATGAACAGCAATGAGTCAGGGTTCAATTCCCATGGTCTAAGATGGCTAGGAGATTGAGCTCTGAAGTTCCAGGCAGATTTTTATATGTCTTTTGTGATATCAGAGGGAGAAAGGTATTCCAAGTGGGCCATCCATACAACTGTGTAGTTTTGTAATGTCTTCACTTTTATTTCCCTTTTCACTTTGCTAGAAAGTCCTGTCTTTCTAATCTGGTATGTACTTGATTCCAGCAGGACAGAAGCAATTCCACTTGTGAGGAAGCAGGAAATTTAGCTGACCAAAGGAGCAAGACGCTTTCTTATTCAGGTAAATACCCTCTGGTTCATCTTCATCGACCTGTAAGTAAAATCTTATCAAAGCCCTAGTTTTCCTCACTCTTGCATGCCTAGCAAAACTACAGCTGAATTAAAAATTCAGCTGAATAGCAAGGATCCTATGTAACTGTTCATCAAACATCTTCATAATCAGCATTGCTGAAAGAGCTAGAATAGTTACATAAATATTTGATGAAGGGGACACAGTTATTGGTGCTGCAATAATTATACAAATTGTAATGGTAATCCTCACTATCAATAATACCTTTAGAGGAAATGGCATTATATACTTCATTCACAGAGAATAATAACAATATTAACACAGTTCTGACACTTGGCAAGTCAATATCTCCCTAGCTGGGCTCACTTGGCAATCAGGACAGCAAGGATCCTTAGCAAACACATATTTTTTTTTTTTTGGCTGTCATTCATTTGCTGGAGTGTCAGAGAATATTTGGCATTTAATGCTATGCAAAGTGTTGTTCCTATTTGATTGTTGTATACTATATAAGCCTTGGAGCATGACACGAAGTAATTTAACAACTGGAATAACAGGCATTTGGGACAAAACTAATTTCATAGGAAAGCTGGTCACAGACACTCAACTTGTTCATAAAAATGTTACCTTGTCATATAATACAAAGTTGAAGAACAAGTAGTATGAAGAAAAGCTGGTTGTGGGAAAATGTCCCTCAGTTCTGATGACATGAAGTCTATGTTTCATGATGATGTTATCTTAGCTCTAAATACCAAGATGTGCCTTGATCTTTATGGCTGTATCCTTCCCTAGTTTCCAAAAAGTGGGCAATTGAGTTAGTAACTTTGTGTTTTAATGAGCTCTGTTTCATGCTCCATGTCACGAGACAGCTCTTCACTTCTGCCTGGTTGCCTATAGAAGGTGCTGAAATATTCTCATCAGTGCATCAGATATGATACAAAGGCATGAAAAATACAGAATGAACAAGGCAGAACATGAGCTGCTCCTGATGATGGGAGCCTATTTTCTTTTCCTAGACCATTTATACAGATAAATTTTTAGGAATTGGTCTCTTTGTCATCCCCACATTTCCAGAGTCACTGCCCTTTAGAATCTGTTCAGGAAGGGGAGGGTTTATCTTGGAAGCCGCCAGATTCACCGGCTCTGTGGATGCTCTTCAACCTCATGCCCCATCCCCACTAACTGTGATCTTGTGATGCTTGTCACTGTCAGTAATTTTTCAGCATTGATAGAACTGTGACAATGACAGAATCCTCCATCTTCTGCCCGGTGTTGAGCGGAGAATTGAGTGTTGGGAAGAGCCACAATTAGTTTTACTGCCTACCTTTTTTTTTCTTCAAGAATCTGTCTGGTGTCTTAGAATTCAGTGAACCCTTAGTGTGTAAGACTTGCAAGAACTAACTTCCAAAAATGTTTTCTAGACATCTACTGATCAACACACTCATTCCCAAAAACCTAATTCATACTACCATGATCTTTCACCTGTATCGTGGTAACAGCCTTTCACTTGTTCTTTCTACTTTTCCTGTTGCTTTCCTGCTGTCCATTCTCTACCTGACAGCCAAGGTGATCTTTAAAAAATCAAATATGGGCCGGGCGCGGTGGCTCACTGCCTGTAATCCCATTACTTTGGGAGGCTGAGGCGGGCTGATCACGAGGTCAGGAGATGGAGACCAGCGTGGCTAACACGGTGAAACCCCGTCTCTACTAAAAATACAAAAAATTAGCCGGGCGTGGTGGTGGGCACCTGTAGTCCCAGCTACTCGGGAGGCTGAGGCAGGAGAATGGCGTGAACCCGGGAGGCGGAGCTTGCAGTGAGCTGAGATCGCGCCACTGCACTCCAGCCTGGGTGACAGAGCGAGAGTCCATCTCAAAAAAAAAAAAAAAAAAAAAATCAAATATATTCAAACCACTATCAAATGTTAATAAAATAAATGAAATAAATGCACATTTAAAACAGAACAAACTGATGATATATAATGTATAGAAATAATGCATTTCTCTTTCTCAATGCAATGTACACCTAAAGAAAGAGACAGGGACAAGGGATTTGGTTTGATTTATTCATTTTTATAACCTTCAATATGGCTAGATCAGTTCCTAAATGTTGCAGAATTCAATATACATTAATTGAATTAGTTAATTAATTATGGGATATTTAACATTCTTAACTGTATTCTACTTCATAGAAAGTTCTACATACTATCTTCAGGATCTGGTCTTGTCTCAAGTCCATCTTCCTTGTAATGCTTCTCCCTAATGTGGGATAAATTTAGTTGTAAATCAAAAGAAAGCAAAACCAGAAACAAACTAAAAACACAAAGGGATTCTTCTGCAGGACAATTCATTATGAGTTCTTCATAGAAAGTTCTACATATTATCTTCAGGATTTGGTCTTGTCTCAAGTCCATCTTCCTTGTAATGCTTCTCCCTAATGTGGGATAAATTTAGTTGTAAATCAAAAGAAAGCAAAACCAGAAACAAACTAAAAACACAAAGGGATTCCTCAGCAGGACAATTCATTATGAGTTTTAGCAATGTATGCTCCTTGGAAGACAGCACCATGGGTGCGAATACTCTAAAGTCTCCAACTTTCCAATGTGCAGTGTGTTTGTGTGAATCACACACAAACCCACTCATACACGCACTCAATCTCAAATATGCAAACACATACCTGAAAAGGATACATTTTAAACAACATGCTAAACCTCTGAAAAAAGAAGCAAAAAGTCCTAACTGCTCCACAATTGCATAACCCTCTACACCATAGTTTCTACTTTATGTCACCCTTATTAGCTTACCTTGGGTCTGCAGAGAATTGAAAACACATGCAAAGCTGAAGCATATACAGCACTATTTAATTGCTCTTCTTCTTTGATGTAAAAAGCCCGGATAAAGCTCTGAAACTTTGGCTAGTAAGGACTCTGACATTTTTAACCAAAGCCATCTTCTTTCTCAAATTACTTAGAGAAAGAAGATATTTATCTTATTGCCAAGTAGAAAAGCAATAGTCTACTGTCCAACCTTGTCATGTTTTAAGGGAAGTACAGTGCTTAAATCTTTGAAAAGAAATTATTTTTAGGGATCATTCTGGATAATCATGCCCAGTTCAGGGGGGTACATTTGAAGGAGTCTTTTGAATGAATTAGATCATATACACAGAATACTTGTCCACGACTTGACCAGAATATTAAAATAGAATTTCTCTATTTGAAGTGGAATGTATTATCTTCTTGATTTGACCTTTGAGGAAACCACTTTTCAAAAGGGGAAAGAGGCACATGCTATTTATGTGTAATACTCAATATCGGTTTCCAGAAGTCTCTTTCTCCACATGCATTTAGGTCATTTTAACCAATATATTTTTACGTGGTGCATCGAGAGCAAACTCCTAGTCTCTGGATCATAAACTCCACTTCCTGTATCTGCTTTTTTTTTTTAATAGCACCTTTCTGTGGCCCATTAATTCCACTTTTGACACCTTAAAATAAGATAAAAAAAATCAAGAAGTTAGTTGCTCTTGCCTAGTCATCGAGTCTTACAGATGATTGATGGAAGGACAGAGCTGTTCACATGTGCCTGGCAGAAATCAGGTTTGTGCTCCAAGAATCAGAAGATTGAAAGTCAGGAAGGGGCCTGTGATTCATGGCAGAGGGTGGTAGGCGCTTGGATGAGTGTAAAAAAGTGGGAATATGTGGAGGCGGGTGAAACAGAGAGAGACTGTAAGAACTTAAAGGACCAATCACCTACAAGAATATTAAAAATATTTTAAAGTCATTGTGACCAAAACTTAAAGTTAACATTATGGGGTTTTTTTTTGGTCAATAAAAATATTCATTGTTAATTTTTCATTTAGGAAGGAGATATAATTTAATATATAGGAGGAGCCAAGTCTGAATAGCACTAGGCATTTTCTGATGCTGATTTGCTGATGTTTCCTATTAGCTTTTTAAAAAGCTGCATGGAAATCCAGTTTGACAGATGCGCTAACAGAGATAGATGTGACATTACATTCTGGGTTTTGTTGTAGTTGCTGTTTTGGATGAATATAAATGGAGTTCTATGTGACTGATATCCTAAACTTTTACTATTCAGTGATTTAATGGAGTTTGTGGTAAGGCAGACTCAATTTTATGTAAGAATTTCAGGTGTTTTGTCTTATTTTTCATCCTGAATATACCATGCAGAGATGCTAGTTGAAATGTACTCTTCTTAACAATGGGGCAAGAATAAGCAACGTTAGGACTCAGCCACAAAGGACTTCATAAGGAGGGATTCTGTGAACCTGGGGCTGGGTCACTGAGCAATGCAGAGTAAGTTCCCTGGAAAGATACCGTGTGATGGGGAGTTGCATACAGAGGGTTAACTTGGGAGTGCTCTCAGATATTGCACCTGTAAGAAAATGAGGAAGGCAGAATTGGGCAGAGAAAAATGCTAGCCTAAAACAAAATTACAATAGAGGCCTCAGAAAATCCTACAGGACTCTGAGGCTGGACTGGCCCGTTAGAGTCATCCAACATTGAGTCAAGGTGCTGGACCTGTGCACCTCTGCATCAGCCAAGCACCACTTGTGGCTGAGAAAATGCCCAGTGAAGTACAAGGCTGTGAGCTACTGACAGCCAGTATTGCCAGGAGTTGGGGCATGGAGGCTTGGACCCTGAAGAGGAATTTGGGCAGAGCACCACAGTATCTACCGTACTCTGCCTATATCTGGAAAATTTGAGCCAAGAACTGAGTGGAATCAGAATGCATGTAGAACAATGAATTTAAAATGTGGTACTGTATACTTCTGAATGAGTGACGGATCCCAGAGAGACCTCCAGTAGGGACAGTGAAGAGCCAAGGTTTTAGAATAAGGGAGACAGTACCAGTGAAGTCTTTATCAGGATGAAGGCAATTGATTACAGAGGGTGATATCCTTAATGCAAGATGTTAAAATGTCAGTTTCCTGAAGTTACTATAGTGGGAAAATAGGGTTTGCTGGTTTAATGGCACAAAACTGGAGGAAAAAAAACAACAGATATATCCTACTTAAAACAACAAAATTGATTTCATTTATAATGAGGCCAAAAAGTAAGATTTTTTTTTTCAGAAATAAGAAATATACTTTAAGGAAAAAAAAAAAGAATTCCCATGTTAAACCTATAAATATTTTAAAAAGAAAAAAATATGGATAGAACTACACTTTGATCAAGGAAGCAAAAACCTTCTAGAGCATCAAAGAAGCATTTTAAGTGTTTCCATGAAGGTTTCATAAGAGTGGCACTACTGGCCGGGCACAGTGGCTCATGCCTGTAATCCCAGCACTTTGGGAGGCCGAGGTGGGTGGGTCATAAGTCAGGAGTTCAAGACCAGCCTGGCCAACATGGTGATGCCCCGTCTCTACTAAAAATACCAAAATTAGCAGCGCTTGGTGGTGCATGCCTGTAGTCTCATCTACTTGGGAGCCTGAGGCAGGAGAATTGCTTGAACCCGGGAGGCAGAGATTGCAGTGAGCCGAGATCACCCCACTTCACTCCAGCCTGGGCAAGAGAGGAGCGAGACTCTGTCTCAAAAAAAAAAAAAAGAAAAAAGAAAAAAAAAGAGAGTGGCACTATTGGCATTTTGGATCAGATGGTTCTTTGTTGTGGAGCCTGTCCCGTGTCTTGTAAGATATTTAGTACCATCCCTGGCCTCTACCTCACAGATGCCAGTAGCAGCTACTCCTCCAAAGTCCTGACAACCAACAATGCCTCTAAGTATTGGTAAGTGTCCCCTTGGGGGCAAAACCTCCTTAATTAAAAATCACTGTTCTAGATACTTCCATTTTCTTTTATTTCATTTAGGGTTACTGGCTACTATGATTTGCCCAGGGCTGAGGTGTTTCTCTGAATTTAAGAATTTCAATACTAAAACCAGGGAAGTGCCAGACAAACAACTCACGTGGGTCACAGTAATTGGGTGCTGTCGTTTGTTGGGACTTGAAAAAAAATACATAGTTGTATACCAACTTAAATAACATGCAACAGAATTGCCTAGTAATAATTTTCTCTTACACCAAAGTGAGCTTCTGTTTTCCTCAGGACAGTGTTGAGGAGACATGCTGCAATTTAAAGAAAAGTTAATTCAATGAATTTTCATAATTCCGGTAAGAGCTATTGCACTAAAACTTGATCATATATATAAATGGATTATATTATTTTTCACTTGAAATGAAATTGTGAAATCCATCTAAGCAAAATGGTATTATATTTAAAAGGTCTTAACAGAGAATGATTTTCACAAATAAGTTTAACATTCAAAATCTAAACACGTAAATAAAATTAAAAGCCCAATGATTTATAATTGAGTTTTCAGCAGAGGTTTCTCAAAAAACTTACGTGTTTATCCAATCCATTCTTTTGCTTCAGTAAATTAAGAAGGTTGAAGAGAAAATGATTCACTCAAGGGCATAAAGCTAGCATTCTGCTCTCATTATGCAGGCATTCTAAATATAGTAATGGAAACTAATTGAAAATTTACTAGTGAGAGAAAAACTAGGTTAAATATTGTTCCTTTTGCTGACAACTCATTGTTTTATCATCAAACAAATACTCATCAGATCTTACTGTTTGCTAGGGATGCCGTTAAGGGTCTTGAGGGGCAAAGTTCAAGTGAAGCAACGCAGAAATAAAATCAAATACTCACGTTCTCACTTATATGTGGGAGCCAATGGGTACACATGGACATAAAGATGGGGAAAATAGATGCTGGAGACTCCAAAAGGGGGAGGTTGGGAATGGGGTGAAGGCTGACAAATTACTTATTTGGTACAATGGTCACTATTTGGGCAATGTGTACACTAGAACCTCAAATCCCACTATTACATAAGCAATGTATCTATGTAACAAACCTGAATATGTATCCCTTGAATCCAAAATTTAAAAAATTGAAAATAATGATAATAATACTTTCCCTAAAAGACAGCAAACTTGATGAGCACCAGTAAATCACTGATTACTATACTTTGGGATATGAGCAAAGATTGGTAATAATAATAATAATAAGTCTTATTAATCACTATGTGCCAGGCATTATGCTTAATGCATTTGTATTTTTTCTCAACATTCACAATAACCTTATAAAGTAGATGTAAACACTATACATATTTTCTATAAATAAATTTTATATATATGTATATATATTTTTTATATATGTATATACTGAGCCTAAGATGTGATAAGTCCTCCAAGGCCACATGGTTTGCAAATAATGGGGCCAAGATTTAGACTCCTGCTCTGGAAATTATGCTTTTAACTCTGATCTTGGGCAAAGTACTTTATGATTTCTGTTTCTTTACCAATCACAGACTGTTCATATTTTTATAAATAACTATATGATTACCATGTTCACAAATATTAGAGCAATATATAATATGTATATAATTATCTTTTTAGATTTTCTAAAATAGCCTTAATTTCAGTCATTTGCATTGTTCCCAGACTGCATTTCTTTTCTTATGAGTCAAAAAATATGGGCACTCTAAGAAGCATTATCTACTATTTGCCTACTAATGAAAGAGATCCATAGAAATGACTTTTCCAGGGACACACAGCTGTTAACAAGGAAACCTGGGATTGGGACCCTGACATCTAACTTCAAAGCCCACTTTTATTAAGTACTCCACCTCACAAGGTTGTGAGGTAGGCGGCAAAAAGTAGCCAAAACCCGAGCTCATATTAGCATGTAATTTTTCTTGTGTGATTTTATTGAAGACTAAAGATCTTCTTCATACTCTCAATCAAAATGGTGTTGGACAGCAAGGAAAGAAAATCTTCCATGAACACTAACATTCCTCCCTCTTGTTTCTTATTAATCAGGGGAATACATGTCCAAGGTAAAAGTTTGAAAGCTTTTCCATGCAACTTCCTTACTTCCTTCTTATTCTCACTATTGAATATCAAGACCCTATATTTTGAAAACCTATTTGTTGCCTGGATCTTATTTTACACTGCAATACTGACATTTTCTTGAGTACCTCTGAAGGGGGAGCAGGATTCTCTGTGCTTCTCCTGATTTCCCAACCAGGTCTTCATAAGAGAGGAAGGAAAATGAATCATCTTGTAAGATTCATAAGTTCGTAGCTTATAGATTCTCTCTTCAGAATAGATTATCAGATGTAGAGGTGAAGGAGACACTCTCTTGTTTGACCACTTCTTGATGTACAATTTGCTGTAGTATATAGAACAGAAATCCTGTTGCTGAACATTTGCTGGCTTTTAAGCACTTTATTTTTGTCATAGTACATTTTTTAAAACTAATTATAACAGCCAAGTTTCTAGAAGACATAATTATAAAACAACAGCGTGCATTGTTTAGATAAGAAACTCTGATACAGGCAGGAGTTTAACTTATTTTCCTCTATGTATCCCAGGAAATTTATTGGCGCATCGTGAGTGGGCAACAAACATCAGCTGTATTGAAGTGAAGTGGATTCAATGTATCACAATGGAATCAATTGAATTACATGTATTTTTTTTTATTATACTTTAAGTTTTAGGGTACATGTGCACATTGTGCAGGTTAGTTACATATGTATACATGTGCCATGCTGATGCGCTGCACCCACTAACTCGTCATCTAGCATTAGGTATATCTCCCAGTGCTATCCCTCCCCCTCCCCCCACCCCACCACAGTCCCCAGAGTGTGATATGCCCCTTCCTGTGTCCAAGTGATCTCATTGTTCAATTCCCACCTACAAGTGAGAATATGCGGTGTTTGGTTTTTTGTTCTTGCAATAGTTTACTGAGAATGATGATTTCCAATTTCATCCATGTCCCTACAAAGGACATGAACTCATCATTTTTTATGGCTGCATAGTATTCCATGGTGTATATGTGCCACATTTTCTTAATCCAGTCTATCATTGTTGGACATTTGGGTTGGTTCCAAGTCTTTGCTATTGTGAATAATGCTGCAACAAACATACGTGTGCATGTGTCTTTATAGCAGCATGATTTATAGTCCTTTGGGTATGTACCCAGCAATGGGATGGCTGGGTCAAATGGTATTTCTAGTTCTAGATCCCTGAGGAATCGCCACACTGACTTCCACAATGGTTGAACTAGTTTACAGTCCCACCAACAGTGTAAAAGTGTTCCTATTTCTCCACATCCTCTCCAGCACCTGTTGTTTCCTGACTTTTTAATGATTGCCATTCTAACTGGTGTGAGATGGCATCTCATTGTGGTTTTGATTTGCATTTCTCTGATGGCCAGTGATGATGAGCATTTTTTCATGTGTTTTTTGGCTGCATAAATGTCTACATGTATTATAGTAATTTAAACGACTGCTCTTTCTCCAGAGTGGAGTTCAGAAACTGATCAGAAGAACTTTGCATCTCTACTGGAAAGCAGTCTCTTGAATGAGTAGCAGTGATGTGGAGCAGAATGAGCAAGGTTTGAATTTCAGTCCAAGTTCTGACATGTGCTCATTAAAGAAAGATGGTAACCCTCTTTGCCCACCTGTGCCCCAGGTTTCTTGTTTATAAAATTTACCATTAGAATTTTCTTTCTAGGCCTCAGGTTCTAGTAGTATGTGGTCACAACCTTATCCATGCTCATTTGGTTTTATAATGAGAAGCCAGTCAGAAATTTTCCAACTTCAGAGCGTTCAAGAAAAAAACAACTCTAAGCTCCTTATTTTGAGCATGTTGTAGATGCAAAAAATGCAGTCATCTCCACATTTTCCCCAAATTCTAAGCACTATTCTGCAGATGGCACCATATGTTCTATTTTATAAGCTCTGTTTTATTTAATTAAGGTGTTTTTGCTTAAATGCAAAGCCCAGTAATTACTATTTGAGTTCCTAAAAGATAAATATAAAAGCAGGTTTTTGTATTTTAAAAAAATTAGAAAAGAATATATTGACACCTATATTTAAAAATACAGAAAGGAAAAGAATGGAAAGAAAACAATCATTCATTATGCATATTTCTCACCAGATCACTTTTTCTCTTCTTGAAGCATCACCGTCCCTCCGTCAACCTCCATTGAAATGTCTGTCCTCGTCAATTGTCTGTCACACTGCTTAATGTCATTCTTAGAAAGACTAGCAAGGTTTTTGAGTGACATTGTAACTTCAATCAATTTGCATTTCTGCCACAGTGGAAATTATTTTTGAAAACTACTGCATCATTCCTAGGCTGTATGAGGCCTTAATTGCCTAGAATGTCACTTGATCTGTAAACTTTCTGCAAGTGGTTCCATCTGAAAGAAGCCTGAGTGAGCATGAGGAGGATTTCCTTCAAAAGACACTTTAAAACAATTTCTACACTCTTGTCTAGTACACATTATTACGGGATTTTGAGATGACCTATTGTCATGGTGTGTTGAATTATTTTTTAATATTCTGGACTCTTGGGAAATACAGCACAAAATCCTATAGTAGTTCCTATGCAGTCTTAGAAGCCAAATTGGTTTACAATCATGGATTTCTCTTTTACCCATTCTGTAACCCCAGGTACTTCACGTCAACTCTGCTAACCTTGACTTCCACTTTGCAACACTGGCGACTGAAAAGGCCCTTCCTAAGATTGTTGTGATGGTTAAATTTAACTGTACTTCATGCTTTGAACATTGCAGGCGCTCAATCAATGTTCTCTTTCCTTCTTCTATGCCTATCTCCAGAAAAAACTTGAAAAGACATGTGTATTTGGGAGCCCAAAACGTGAAACTTGAATACAAGTCAAGGGTGTTGTGATGAAGAGTCCTGGATATTGCTAATAAGTTCTAATTTAACATAGTTTGTTTTTGTCTCTGCATAATATGCATCCTTATCACATTACGTATGCCATTATTCATTCTCTCTGTCTCGGTCTCTCTATCTTTTGTCAATCTTTCCCTTCCTCTCTTTTTCCCTCCTTCCCTCCCTTCCTCCCTTCCTCCCTCCCTGGCTTCCTTCCTTCCTTCCTTCCTTCCTTCCTTCCTTCCTTCCTTCCTTCCTTCCTTCCTTCCTTCCTTTCTCGCATATGCTTCAGAGAATAGGTTCAGGAAACTGACATAAAAGAGTGAAATGTAGTTACATTTTGCAGATGAAGAAAAGAGATACAGAGAGGTTTAGAAATTTGTCTAAGTTCACACAGCTAAAAAAATGTGATAGCTGGGCATGCTGCTCTCTGTCAGATCTTTCTACTGCACAAAGCCACTCTATAGCAACATTTTATAGCCATCCTATTAGTTTCTCCGATCAAATGACACTAAACCTGCACTTTTGTTTCCCTCTTAGGGAAGGACTGATTCCAAGCCTAATAGCAGCTATTAACATTCTCATACAAGGTCCTTTTAAAATGTTGAAATAGCTTTGAGATTAATTTCTTTTAAAGCAAACTTGAACTAGCTTTTCTATTGATGCTATGAAGAGGAAAATAGTCTTGCCCAAGGTCGACAAAGAATTGAAAAGTGAGGTTAATAATAAAAGCAGAATTAGAAGCAGTTTCAGTGGAGATATGTCATGTGCAAGCCTATAAAATAAATAGCAATTATCACATTAGAAAAATGAGTCTCTCAGAACAAGAGTGGTTTCTGACAACTCCATCTCTGTACCACTGTCCTCTGACTTGCTCACTTTGTGCCTCTTATTGACTAAATCAATGCACAACACTCCCCACCCCTGTGCTTAAGATGAAAGCTATTTTGCTCAATAAAAACTCAATAACTAGAGATAAAACCACAATATTTAAAAGCACCCCCTTACATATTGGCTTAATGTATTAGCAAATATTTTCTGTATTACATTTTGTGTATAAAACAAAGATTACTTGCTTATGTATATAATATCTATAACAATAAATGGTCAATAAATAGTATTAAATATTATGTACAACATACTACATATTAAGTGCTCATTTTATGTTATCTCTCTGAATCCTTGCAACAGTTCTGTAAGTTAATTATCATTATCATCACTTTGTGATCAGAAATAGGACTTTGGAGAGGTGTCATGACTTGTCCAGTTTCACAGTGCTGTTAGGTGGAAGAGACAGAGTTAAAATTCAATTTTGCAAGGATACTTGGCATTAATCTTAAGTGTACATCACCTCCTTACATTTTTTCATATGGAATATCTACATATATTTATATCATGGCCACTACCAATGGCAGAAAGTTAAAATTCATCTATCTAAAGCCTGGAGATAATTCTGAATTTTTGAAATTGGGTAAGTACAAGTACCTATCTCAGTATGACTTAATTATATTGATTTCTAAGTCATTTCAGTCAAATGCAAAATTCTTGACCACTTCTTGAGAACTTTATGATGTGTAACCACTCAGCGGGTTCACCTTGGCTGCTGCCTAGACAGAGACGATTTATGAAGAAAGAGGAATTGCAGTGGAGAAAGAGTAATCCACACAGAGCCGGCTGCATGGGAGACCAGAGTTTTATTATTACTCAAATCAGTCTCTCTGAGCATTTGGGGATAGGAGTTTTTAAAGATAATTTAGTGGATAGAAGCCTGGGAAGTGGGAAGTGCTGATAGTTCATGTTGACAATGGAAGCATAGGGAAGTTGAAGTGAAGTTTTCTTGCTGTCTTTGTTCCTGGGTGGAATTGCAGAACTGGTTGGCCAGATTACCAGTCTGGGTGGTGTCAGCTGATCCATTGAGTGCAGGTTCTACAAAATATTTCAAGCACTGATCTTAGGTTTTACAATAGTGATATTATCCCCAGGAGCAATTTAGGGAGCTTCAGACTCTTGCAGCCAGAGGCTGCATGACCCCTAAACTGTAATATCTGATGTTGTCGCTAATTTGTTAGACCTACAAAGGCAGACTAGTCCCCAGGCAAGAAATGGGTCTTTTTGAGAGAGGGCTATTATCAATTTTGTTTCAGTCAAATCATAAACTAAATTGCTTCCCAAGGTTAGTTCCGCCTATGTCCCAGAATGAACAAAGACAGCTTAAAGGTTAGAAGCAAGATGGAGCCGGTTAGGTCTGATCTCTTTCAATGTCATCATTTCCTCAGTTATAATTTTTGCAAAGGTGTTTTTGATGGACTTGTTTATTTGTTCCAGAGAGCACTTGCAGTGATAGCTTCGTATTTGCATCAGAATTATAGTCCTCCAAGTAGGGAACGATCTATCCTGAGGAAACTTCTCTGCCCAAGCTCTCCACTGGATGTCTTAGTGTCAGTCAAATGACCACCACTAGACAAATCCCTGTGAGTGTTGTTCATGACACAAATAGAAGCGCTGTTGTGAATAATTTGACTCTGACAATATCCCAAGGACCTCACCAACCAATACAAAATAGTTCACTAGTGCTCAGAAATAAGTATGCCCAAAATGTAATTGCTTAACCGAATTATTTTTACAAAGCACTGAGTTTTGCAGGCGGGTAGATGAGACATAATGAAGAAAAAGTCCAGCTACTTGACACTGGTTTTATTTCTGTCTACTTGGACTTATCTGGGAACCACTGGAGTAGTCATACCTGGGACCTAATTGTATGGTGGATCAAAGAGCATTTCTGGAAAAGCATTCATTTTAGTGAAAGCAGAAGTGTCAAGAGCAGTGGCTCTCAAAGAGGAGTGCCCAGACCAAAAACCAGCATTACTTGTGCGATTGTTCAAACAAAAAGCTCAGACTCCATTCAAGACCTACCGAATCAGATACCCTGAGGGCTGGGTCTCGAATTTGTGCTTTAACGAGCTCTCTGGGTGATTTCGGATACACACTACCTTTTAAAAATTAGATTTAAGTGCAATGCTTCTCAAATATGGCTGCATTTTTTTCCTCTATTATATGTACTTTTTAAAAACATATACTTTAAGTTCTGGGATACATGTGCAGAAAGTGCAGGTTTAATACACAGGTACACACATGCCATGGTGGTTTGCTGCACACATCAACCTGTCACCTACATTAGGTATTTCTCCTAATGCTATCCCTCCCCTAGTCCCCCACCCCCCTATAGGCCCCTGTGTGTGATGTTCACCTCCTTGTGTCCATGTGTTCTCATTGTTCAACTCCCACTTATGAGTGAGAACATCTGGTGTTTTGTTTTCTGTTCCTGTGTGTGTTTGCTGAGCATGATGGTTTCCAGCTTCATCCATGTCCCTGCAAAGGACATGAACTCATTCTTTGTTATGACTGCACAGTATTCCATGGTGTATATGTGCCACATTTTCTCTATCCAGTCTATCATTAATGGGCATTTGAGTTGGTTCCAAGTCTTTGCTATTGAGTGCTGCAATAAACATACCTGTGCATGTGTCTTTATAGTAGACACTTTATAATCCTTTGGGTATATACCCAGTAATGGGATTGCTGGGTCAAATAGTATTTCTGGTTCTAGATCCTTGAGGAATCACTACACTGTCTTCCACAATGGTTGAACTAATTTACACTCCCACCAACAGTGTAAAAGCATTCTTATTTCTCCACATCCTCTCCAGAATCTGTTGTTTCCTGACTTTTTAATAATCGCCATTCTAACTGTTGTGAGATGGTATCTCATTGTGGTTCTGATTTGCATTTCTCATTTTAAAATCATTTGCGAAAGTTTGAAACTAGTGACAACTGAATGAAAATATCTGGAGATAGAGCCCAAGTATTTGTGGGTTTTGTTTGTTTGTTTGTCTTTTAGATGAATTTAATGAGCAGAACCAAGCCTTCAGGGTTAAGGGTGATGGCTCTGGAATTCTGTAGTCTTTTATTCAAATCCAAATCCCAACTTATATCCGAGGCTTTGAATTTCTTCTAGCCACTACCCTCTCCTGCTAAATGGGATTTAAATACAGTACCTATTTTTTTTTAAGCCCAAGTTATGTATCTGACAGGGAATGATTATTTTGCATGCCTGTCACATTTCAGAATTAGGTAAATATTAAACCCATTTTGCAGCTGAAGAAGCTAAGAGACAGATAAATTAAGCAACTTCCTCAAAGTCACTCAGTAACGGAACTTAGGTCTAAATGCTGGCATCTCAAACACAGAGCCAGCATTCCAATCCACTATTTGGCAACAGTCAGGACAAACAGCAGGTGACCAACACGCATTGGTTCTTTTCTTTTTTCCTAAGACTTCAAGGTATATTTCTCTTCCTACTTTCTTGGATGCTCTTTAGCAGAATAACATTATTGAGGTGATGAATTATTTTTGGAACCCTGCTTTGTAGGAGCCAACTGCCTCTTCTTTTTTTTTTCCAAAACAATACAGCAAGGAAAAAGAAAGAGATATAGTGACAGAGAGATTCTTTTAATTTAAGAGAGAAAGAAGAGAAGAAAAGAGGGGATGTGATTTCGTGAAAGATCTTAGGGTTTCTGGATTTCAAACGTAAGTGAAATAAAAACTCCCATCGTATCCCATTATATACTGCCCTATCATCGTTTTCAAGATTTCCCCTTTCCCTCTAAACTCTTTTAGTGTTTTTGTTTTCATTATAGGATACAAACAACCTAATTTAGGGAGCTAAATTAAAGCTGGGGAGCAGCTTTAATGTGAGCAAGAAAACATGACTTTGAAAAGGATGCCTCTTTTTCATAGCATTTTAAACTAAGCAATTGGCAGAGTGACAGCAGCGCAAGGAGCAAGGTAATATTCCTCTCCTCGTCATGCCTCAAACTTTTTTTTTTTAAGATGGAGTCTAGCTCTGTCACCCAGGCTGGGGTGCAATGGTGTGATCTCGGCTCCCTGCAACCTCCGCCTTCTGGGTTCAAGCGATTCTCCTGCCTCAACCTCCTGAGTAGCTGGGATTACAGGTGTGCACCACTACTCTGGGCTAATCTTTGTATTTTTAGTAGAGATGGGGTTTCACCATGTTGGTCAGGCTGGTCTTGAACTCCTGACCTTGTGATCTGCTCGCCTCAGCCTCCCAAACTGCTGGAATTACAGGCATGAGCCACCACACCAGGCCTGCAAACATATTTTACCACTAGGCTACAGATGGTTTTGATATTTTCTCACTAAAGGGTTAAGGCTGGGCTCAATAGAATCAGCCTGAGTTTGATTTGAAAGAGTAGTATAAGAAAGGGGAAGAAAAATACTTTATCCTAGAAAATCATGAAACATATTGAATGTTTATAATGTGCCCTTCACTCCTCTGGTGGGATAATAGACTTTGGAAACTTGTGGGGTGAAGAGGGGAATAAAAGACTGCATATTGGGTACAGTGTACACTGCTCAGGTGATGGGAGCATTAAAATCTCAGTTCACTGCCGTAGAATTCATCCATGTAACCAAAAATCACTAGTACACCAAAAGCTATGGGAGTTTTTTTAATCTTAAAAAAAATAAAAATAAATGTAACATCCCCATAATAACCCACTGTGTGCCCATCCTCCATCTCTGGGCAGGTTTTGCTGTTGCAAACATCTCTACTAACTATTGGTGAAATCACTGGCTCATATATACGTTTTTACCTAAGTTACCTAAAACCAGAATGAGAACAGAGAAAATGAGATTTTTCATTTCATTTACAAATAGCACCACAAATGATTGGTGATGAGTTATCAAAATCCTGACAATAAACAGATTGCCTTCCAAAAAAAAAAAAAGGCAAAATACCATTCACTCTTTATGCACCTGCCGCATCACCTTGAAACACTATAAGGAATAACTGTTATTATTCCCATTCTAAGGAAAGTTAAATAATTTCTCAAGGTCATCCAGTAAGTGACAGAGGTGGAAGTTAAACTCAGGCACTCTTGCCTTCAGACAATGGCTTCTTATTTTTACCTATATATAGTCTTCTTGAACATTGTTTTGTAGAGAACTCTATGTTGCTCCTAATCTTTTCTTGAATTTAATCATTTAAATAACAACAGTCTTTGTAATGCCTACCCTCTGTTAGAGACTGAAGGAAGTGCTGGGAATACAGGGGAAATTTATAGTTATCCATATATTGAAATAACTCTTAATATTGTCTTTAATATACTGAAATGTGTCTTCCTCACCACACTTCAAAAAAATTGTAAGTTACAGTTGATACTGAATACATGATTGTTCAATGAATAAATGTATAAATGAATAAATTTATAAATGAATACATGAGCTAATAAACAAGCCAACCTGGGAGTGATAGATATATAAACATATGCTGCTGACACCTATGTAAATAAATGTTTTCAGCACAGACTATTATTTGCACCCCAAAATCCATTCCACTTCTTTTCCTTAGTAAAGGAATCCCTGATATTTATATAGGCTAGTGGAAACCAGAAGTTCAAATGACATTCTCTACTCTTCTATGTAGTGAGGTGCTATGGCTTCAATGCATGTGTCCCTCCAAAATTCAAATGTTGGAACTTAACCTCCAAGGTGATGTTATTGAGATGTGCGCCCCTGGGGAGGTGATTCGGCCTTGGGGGATCCACCCTTATGAATGAGATTGCTGCTCTTACAAAAGAGGTTGAAGGGAGTGCTCTAATGCCTTCTGCCCTCTTTGTCCTTCCATGTCTTCGGTCACAAGATGATGCACCACCAAGGCACCATCTTGGAAGCAGACAGCAAGCCTTTTCCAGACATCAAATCTGCTGACACCTTGATCTTGTATCTCCCAGCCCCTAAAACTGTGAGACACACATTTTTGTTATTTATAAATCACCCAGTCTATGTTATTTTGTTACAGCAGCAGGAGCAGACTAAGTCATGAGGTAGGGTCGTGTAACTACTTGCAGTTAAATTAATTTTTTAAAAAACTTAGTTTCATCTTTAATTTCAAATAATTGTTTTATAGAGAATTAGCCCACTTTTCTTTATCCTTTTCTTTTTAATGATTTCTGGAATCCAGAAATATCTGGATAAATTTGTTACTGTCCAGAAATATCTGGAGCTCAAGTGCCCATATTGGACTACGAGGTGACATATCGAGAATTAGAGGGTAGCAACCTAGAAGGACATGGATCCTGAAGGTCACAATGTTTCGTAGTATTCTTTATAAGAGAAATGAATAAATTTCTGTCTTTTTCAAGCTATAGTTATTTGGATTTTCCTGTTATAAGAAATTAATCCCAACCTCAATGATTCAGTGTTGAGACACAAATATGCATAAGGTATTGCAGGAAGAAATGTTGGTGAGCATCTAACTTAAAAGATGGCAGGAATTAGGAATGATTCCCGGGAGGTAGGGGGCAAAACTTAATGATTTGTTTTCCTGTTTCCAAGGTGAGGAAATTTGCTCTGGAACCAAATGGTGTTTCTAGGACTCACTGGCTATATCTCTCTCCAGGCCAGTCCTTATTGATAATTGTTGATGTATAACATCCATTCAAAATTCATTCATTAAATATTTACTGAGCATCTAATGCGGCAGACACAGCTTCTCTGCATGATAGAAACTCACTGTCCTTCACAGATTGGGGCCAGCCTACCTCTTTAGCCTCAATTCTTGCTACTGAGCCAGCTTACACTTTACAGGTATTTAATGTGATAGGATAGTGATTTTTAACACACCATGACCTGTCTGACCTTCGTGCGATAATGTTTGTCCAGAATTTTTTTTCCAGTCGTAAGAGCTACTGAAACTCTGTGCATTCTCCTCTTCTTCCTCTTTTCCTTCCTTCTCTTTTCCTCTCAGATAATTCAGATGAGACTGAGTCAGGTAGGCATCTGTGCCATGTCAAAGGCAGCTGTGTAGTATGGGGCAGGATGTCAGAGTCCAAGCAAGTGGAGGAGAGCATAAAAAATGAGCCTGCAGCATCTTGTTTTGCCAGAGAGTAAGGAGGGACTAACAGACAAAACAGACGACAGAGCATTTCTTTTTCTTTCTTTCTTTCTTTCTTTCTTTCTTTTTTTTTTTTTTTTTGAGACTGAGTCTCACCCTGTTACCCAGGCTGGAGGGCAGTGGCACGATCTCGGCTCACTGCAACCTCTGCCTCCCATGTTCAAGCAATTATCCTGCCTCAGCATCCTGAGTAGCTGGGATTACAGGCACCCACCACCACACCCATCTATTTTTTTTTATTTTTAGTAGAAACGGAGTTTCACCATGTTGGTCAGGCTGGTCTTGAACTCCTGACCTCAGATGATCCACCGGCCTCGGCCTCCCAAAGTGCTGGGATTATAAACGTGAGCCACTGCACCTGGCCTGTAAGAGCATTTCAAAAGCACACAGAAGGCTCATTTGAAGGGGATATCACTGGCCAAATCTGGGAAAGTCTGAGAATCAAAGTAGGTAAGACAGTAACAAATTTATCCATTGAGCAGAAAAAGAAACAACAAATCCACACTTTCATTTGAATTAATAAATAGATTGAAAGTTATATGAGAATTGAACTATGTGCATAGATTTGAAGTAACTCCCCATCAAATACTTACTAACTGTAAAGGGGAAACTAGGTATATTTCTAATGATGATCTAAATTCAGGCTGATATGGGTTTTAATCTGAGATTCACTGCATAGTTTATTTTCTCTGTGACTCTTGGCAAGTTATTTACCTCCTTGTGTGCAGTAACCCCCTCTGCAAAGAGAAAAATAATAATAACGTGTATCTTTGTTGTGAGATTTAAATTAGCTATAGCCTGCCAAAAGAGTCACAGTGTCTGGCACAGAGCAAGCATTGAATATGTGCTAACTCGTTTAGCTGACGTCTTATGTCCCCATATGTACGTCAGGATCTGTAGCCACTGCAGTCTTGTCACACAATCCGTGGCCACCAAGGCACCCCGCAGACATGCAACATCCCTCGGCCTCCTCTGGTATGGCTCCTTTCATCTACCTCAAGCTTTGAAATTTCAGAATCATCAGTAGAAGAATGGCAGGCCAGCCAGAAACCATGGGACCTTTTTCATCTCCAGACTTATTTGATCCTTACAACCTTCCCGGGAGGTACTAGCAAGTCCACTTTACAGGAGAGAAAACAGACTCCAGGAAGTGAAAGACCTCATCTAATTCACTCAGCAAATAAATGATGCAGCTTTGAGACAACTCTTCTGATTCAAGTCATATAGTCTTTCTACCACGTTATGCATCTCTGTTTAACTGTGATTTCTAATGGCTGTACATATGACACTGATGTAATTGCATGCATTAAAAAGTGGGAGCTAGAGCAAGAGTGTGAGAGAGAGCATGAGCGGAGAGACCAAGAGTGTGAGAGAGAAGCTGAGTGCAGTGTGGCAGGAGGATCACTTGAGGCCAGTAGTTAAAGACCAGCATGGAAAACATAGCAGGGCATCGTCTCTACAAAAAAACTGAAAAATTTCTGGGTGTGATAGTGCATGTGTGTGATCCTAGTTACTTGGGTGGCTGAAGCAGGAGGATACCTTGAGCCCAGGAGTTGTAACTCCAGCTCCTCTGACTGTACCACTGCACCCCAGCTTAAGTGACAGAGAGAGACTCTCGCTGAAAAAAAAAAAAAAAAGAGAAAGTGAGAGACATGAAAGTTTGCAAGGTTCTCTAAGGAATTATATAGATAGATAGATAGATAGATAGATAGATAGATAGATAGATAGATAGATGATAGATAGATTTTCCTCTTTTGACAACCGGGAGCTCAGAATTTCAGAATTTGAGTGCTGCAGATAGGGGGTCAAACTATATCCAGGAACTAAATATGAAACATGAGATTGACACCCCATATCCCTCTCTCTTAAAACGCTGTCGGTGATGATAAAGACAATAAGGACTTAGAGTCTTTGTGAAGGGAGAGTTCTGGTGAGTCACCACTCACAGTACTATGGTAACCCAGAACACTAGTGCCTAAGCAATTACTTTCCCAGAACTATCTAATAAAAAGTATGACTAGCTGAGTTTTCTTCATAGATTACCGTTTAAGTAAATGTCTGGGGTCTGCAGGAGGAATCATTGCCTTGAAGTCATTGTGATCAAAATCAGCAAAAACTTTTCAAATAGCATTCTTTATGCTATGTAAATTAGACCCATATTCCTGGGAAATGTGAGACACCTTTAGAAAATAAACAAATACATCCTGGTCTAAAATAATCATAGAGCACTTCTAACATTGTTTGAAAGGAATTCTAAATTCATATAATTATTTTGGAGATGTACAAGTAAAATATGTGTGTTCTTCATTGCACACATCTATATTGCATCTGCAGACACTTTCAAAATAGAATTAATAAGGGGGAAATATCTTACTTATTTTTTCTCAGACAATCTTTCTGTGCATATTTAAAATCAAAAGATCTTCTGTCCTCTTTATGGGCATAAATAAAAGAAATACGTTACAAATGCTTTTTGTAATTACCTGGCCTTCTTGGGTTTTTAAAATCCACAGATTGCAAAGTCCTGTGACAGGAGAGAGAAATACACAAGCCTAGAGGCTGAGAACTCTGTCAGTTCTTCATCATGTTCATAGAGAGTATAAAAGGATAATAACGGGCATTTCCTTGTTGGCTTCATCTGCAAGCATTGAATAATTAGTACTCCAAATTACAAAAGGGTATTACACCATCAGTACAGAACCCCTATTAGCCAATGCAGAACCAATGTACCATCAGTATAGAATCTCAGACCAATGCCAAACTCCAGACTGTAGGTGATAATAGCTTACAGAAATATTGGCAGACATCAGAGATGTCTTTGTAAAGCTTTAGGCCAAAGAGAGTGCTCTGTGTTCTCGGATATATCCAATCAAGGCAAGAGAGTTGGGCTCAAAGAGAACAACTTCTGTTGGAGAGTGGAGCTGCCTGGCAGCACAGGAAACTAGAAACTCAGCCATAGAAGAAGGAGAGCTGAGTTTCAGGAACCCGCAGGATTGTCACAGGACAGCTAGTGGAGTGGAGGGAGCTGATGCATTTTCAGGGACCAGCATGCCAAGAATGAGGCAAGTAGACAGCACAGAAGGGACCCCCCAGCTGAAGTTCCTTGAATGATTCCACCCAAGAGGATCACTGGAGCAGGAGCTGAAAGGGAATTGCAAGAGGCCAACAGGAGAGGGCAGCACCGGCCTCAGGTGGTGATAGAGGCTCCATGGCAGGAGGGGAATAGCTGTGGGGTTCACACCAGCGTATTTAACACACAAGAGAAAGGTAGAGCACTTCTAAGTAAAATCATCCCCCTACCCTTTTCCCTTCCGCTCATCCCCTTTGCTCTAACTTCTGTAGGAGTCAGAGCCATAAATTAAGTAAGAGGGAAGGAGCAGAAAGGAAAGAGAAGGAAGAGTGAAAGAGCTTCTCAGACTCCACCCACACAAAGCTGGCCTAAGGATTATGGAGACTGAGCTGGGTTGGGGGAGCAAATATTTTTTAAACTGGTGAAAGAATGAAGTTTTTTTTTAAACTGATGAAAGAATTAAGTTTTTATATGCCACGGAATTGGACATTTAAATATGCATGAGAAGGTTTTAATGCCAAAAAGTGTCAAAAACAAAAAGCAATGGGATCTGCTTGATTCTGTCCATGACTGAGGAAGGGAGATAGGAAAGTTTTTTGGAAGAATAGTAGTTAAAAAAAAAAAAGAGAGAGAGAGAGAATAAATGTGTTTCTTTCTGGTACCCATCCCTACATCATTCATTCTTTTAATTTAGTTACTCTAGGTATTAGTTTGTTAGGGCCACCGTGACAAAATACCACAGACTAGGTGACTTAAACCACGTAAATGTATTTGTTGCTCACACTTCTGGGGGCCAGAAGTCCAAGATCAAGATTTTGGCAGGTCTGATTTCTTTGGAGGCCTCTCTTCCTGGCTTGCAGATGGATGCTTTCTAACTGTGTCTTCACGTGGTCTTTCCTCTGTGTTCTCCCATTCCTGGTGTCTCTTGTATGTGCAAACCTCCTTATAGGAAGCCAGTCATATTGGAGTAGGGCTCACCCTACTGTCCTTAATTTAAATTAATCTCCTCTTTAAAGGCCTAATCTCTAAATGCAGTTACATTCTGAGGTGCAGGGGGTTAGGGCTTCCATATATGAATTTGAAGAGGATACAATTCAGCTGATAACACTTTGTTAGTAAGTATTTTCTCTACACCATAGAGACTGCTAAGTGCTTTCCTAATAGTAACTGAGTGCCTGGCACTTATGACGTTTTCCGTAACACTTAGCCAAGTACTGCATTATGCCTTATGTTGCTATAGTTGAATGTGTCCCCTCCAAAATTCATTACACATTATGTTACTTACATCTCACAACATGATTTGGTAAATCAATCGTTACAATCTGCCTCTAGAGTAGAAAACAGAGCCACAGAGTAATTAAGTAAATTTTCTAAGATCTCAGAGTTAAGAGTAATTCAGCTGAAATTCTAACACAGACAGTAAAACTCAAGCCAGCTCTTCTTCATTTATTATCTCACTCATCATTGAATGTATATAACTATGTGATAATCTATCTCTATACCTGGGTTTTACAAATACCCCAGTAATGGAGAGATTTTTAATTGGTGTGTTTGTAACTCCACTCTTCTTGATATCATTGATATAAATATGTGTAATACTACTTAAAAATAAACTACATATAGTCATATGTACATAAAATTATGAATACATTTATCTTTAAACATATGGCAATATAACATACATGTATGTATATAGTTATACATAAGAGTTAGCTGTTTTGTAAAGTGACTACATTCTGTTCACAGTGTGTGACTTGTTCTTTTTGGTGAATCTTATTTTTGCTTTTTAATTAAGAGAATTAAAGAACAACTGAAATTATTATAAAAGACTTATTAACATTTTTTGAGAATTTTCTATGTGCTGAGGCCTTTGAAAATTTATTCTGTTCCATCTTCCCTGCAAGTCTTGAAAGATAGTACTTAACAGATAAGAAAACTGAGCTTTGGAGAACTTAAGTCACAAGTATCTGCATTAGGAAACTTGACTGATACTTGCAGAATCTCCCTTAGGATTCAAAGTAGGCAGATTAAGGAAGTCGGCTCCTAACATAGTGGACAAAAACTTCCAATGCCCCTAAAAAAAACTGTCTTGTGATCTCTCTCATGAAAAGAGCAGAAAATTTGAGTCCAGAAATAAAAGGAAGCTCTATGCCTAATAAACAACCTATCAGAGGTGTTGCTATAGATTGAGGATGTCTCCTCTGAAATCTACATGCTCCCAGCCTGGGAAAAATAGCAAGACCCTGTTCGTACAACAAATTAAAAAATAAAAACTAAAAAAAAGAGAAGATAATTTTTTTAAAGGCCAGGCATGATGTCTTACAGTTGTAATCCCATAGGTTGGGAAGCTGAGGCAGGAGAATTACTTGAGCCCAGGAGTTCAAGATCAGCCTGGGCAACACAATGAGACCTCATCTCAGTAACAATAAAAAATAAAGAAATAATTAATTTAAAAAATACATACATGTTGCCAATATGATTATATTAAGAGCTGGGGCCTTTAAGAAGTGATTAGGTCACGAGGGCTCTTCCCCTGTGAATGTATTCAGGACCCCTAATGAAGAGGCTTCACATAGCATTTTGCTAGCTTGCCCTTCTACCTTCCATCTTGTGAGGTCAGAGCATTTCTCCCCATGTGAAAATGCAGCAAGGATGCCTTCACCAAATGCCAGCACCTTGATCTTGCACTTCCCAGGCTCCAGAACTATGAGAAATCAATTTTTGATCTTGATAAATTACCCAGTCTGTGCTATTCTGTTATGGCAGCACAGAATAAGACAGGTGCTAATAAGGCAGGTGTTACAAGTCAGATAGAGGCTGCAATTTCAAAAACTTTAGAATACTAGCTACCAAACTTCATGGTACCTATGCATCAACTAAAGTGCTCGTAAAAATAGCTGTCCCTGTATCCCCTCTCAGAAATTATGATCCAGTAAGTTTTGCTAGTGCCAAGAATTCATACTCTTTATTAATTCTCCCCAGGTAATTCTAATTAATGTTGCCAATTTACTACACATTGAGAAACATTTATTTATATATTAATGGTTCTTTGCCATGGTGCCCTATTAGAGTTACCTAAGCCATTTGAAAAATTAATAAAAATAAACTATCATTGCTGATGGCCATGCCCAGAAATTCTTGGTTAATTGGTCTGTGGGAATGCTCAAGAATCAGACCATTTTTAAAGTTCCCCAAATGTTTCTAAGAGGCACGTATGGGGCAAGATCTGGCAATGGTCCCTTAGATATAATGGAGTCAGGCAGATGTCAAAGACCACACTTATCCTCCCAAAGAAGGCATCCCAGTTAAAATGCTGCATGGAGACTATTTTCTCCAAGGTAAGTATTATTTTCTTCTCCAAATTGTGATACCGTTATATTTAATAATGTCAATTTAAAATTCCTACTTTGCAAAAAGTGACAGAAATATAGGCAGTTTTTACTCAATATAAACCTGACAAAAAGAACATCAAAGAAAGTGTAAGTGTCTAAAGATTAGAAAAGCAAAGAAAATAAGACAAAGTTGAAAGAAACAATTACTGTTAAAATGAAGAGTTTCTACATTGTGCCAGGTTCTGTGCTAAACTGTTAAGATGCATCATATTATTTAATCGTTGCAATAATGCTATAATATGGACATCGATGGATACACTTTACGGCTAAGAAAACTGGACCAAAGTCACAGACAACATAAAGTGACCTACTGGGACTAGAACTCAAAACTCATGACATCAGGCCAATGTTCTTCCTATTATTATAAGATAGTATTATTAGACACAATTTACAAATAAATGTGTGGACTTTTCCATGGAAGAAGGAGAGTTGAATTCTGAGATTCCACTTATAACAAAAGAAATTCATGAGGATAAAAATGACAGACAAGAATTGATCATGGAGATGTAAATGCCCCAAAGTAAGCTGAAGGGAGCCCAGATGGGAGCCCACATCCCTCTCTTCTCCTGCCCCTCCTCTTGAGTTAACATCACTCTCCTTAGAATCCAGATTTTGGTAGGGTATGTAAAATACATGTGGGTTTCCAGACTTTTGCTTTACAGAATTGTTTTTCTAGAATTGTCTGCTTAACAGTTGCTTTGCCACATGTAACCAGTGTGCCAAGCAGTATAATCCATGTTGAGAATATGTAGTACAATCTCTGCCCTCATAGAACCATATAAATAACTAAGATGAATTGACGAATACATTAAAGCAATGGGGGTTGCATGCTAAAAGCAATGAGTAAAATCATTTTGATGGGGGAGGGATGACAAAGTGGAGAATGGAAGGAAAAAAGGAAGGAAAAACAAATGATGGAAAGAAAGAAGAAAATTGATTTCAGAAACATGAAAGAATAATGTAGAAGGAAAACCCTAAAAACTAAAAATAGGTGCCTGATATATTGTACTTCTGCAGAAAACCCACCTTTCCTAATTCCTCTTGACTTTTTGTCTTGTAAAATAAAGAGCCAATAGTTTATTAAGTCTTATTGATGATGATATAGTGAAACTTCACCTCTCCACACATCCATTCAATCCTTCAAAATATTCCCAATGTGTAAGAAGTACTTTATAAACCTCCTATTTCCTCTGAGTGCTATCATTATGAGCCAATTTATTTGAAAACGTTTCCTGAAAAACATTACCTATTGACTAATAGGGATCTGCCTGTCAATAGCGGAAATCCTATGGCAACTATTTAGCAGTGCTGCAAATACAAAATGTATATGCACTTGTATTTTCTCTTCTAGTCTGAATGTTATTTTCTTAAAAATAGCAAAATATATTTATATTGACTGCTTCTCTTTTATTTGTCAGATAAATTAAGTAGCTTTATTCTTCCATTCCAGGAAATTTTTTTTACTGATTATCCTGTTGGGTGGGGCTGTTGAAAGAGACAGGAAAGGTAGAAATTCTATTCTAATTTAATTCATCCTAAGGCTTCTGCCATGGGGCATGAAGACCTGAAGTGTTTGCTATTCAGCCATGCATGGTTCAAGGAATCTGCTCAGAAACATACATACATCTGTTCATACACCTTCTCTTTTTGCCCTGCCTTGCCCTGCCCTGCCCTGCCCTGCCCTGCCCTGCCCTGCCCTGCCCTGCCCTGCCTTGCCTGCTTGCTTGCTTGCTTGCTTGCTTTTCTTTCTTTCTTTCTTTTTTCTTCCTTTCTTTCTTTTTCTTTCTTTCTTTTTCTTTCTTTCTTTCTTTCTCTCTCTCTCTTTCTTTCTTTCTCTCTTTCTTTCTCTTTCTTTCTTTCTCTCTTTCTCTTTCTTTGTCTTTCCTTCTTTCTCTCTGTCTCTCTTTCTTTTCTTTTCTTCTCTTTCTTTCTTTCTTTCTTTCTTTCTTTCTTTCTTTCTTTCTTTCTTTCTTTCTTTCTTTCTCTCCCTCTCTCTCTCTCTCTCTCTCTCCTTCCTTCCTTCCTTCCTTTCTTTTTCTTTATTTGAGACGGACTCTAGCTCTGTCACCCAGGGTGGAGTGCAATGGCGTGATCTTGGCTCACTGCAACCTCCGCCTCCCGGGTTGGAGGGATTGTTCTGCCTCAGCCTTCTGAGTAGCTGGGATTACAGGTGTCAGCCACCATGCCTGACTAATTTTATATTTTTAGTGCAGACGGGGCTTCGCCATGTTGGTCAGGCTGGTCTTGAACCCCTGACCTCAGGTCATCCACCGGCCTTGGCCTCCCAAAGTGTTGGGATTACAGGCATGAGCCACTGTGCCAGGTCTACACCTTCTATTTCACTATATTTTCATTTTGATTGATTTTTATATTTCTTCTCTGAACTTTATGACTTGGAGAAAAAACGAGTTTGGCACTGACCACTTGATATTAAAGAATGTACTGAACACTTGCTCTTAAGAGAAAATTGAATCCGTGATGTGACTACTTTTATTTAATGCCAGGTAGTCACAACTTGTTAAGACCTACTTCTCTTAAGACTGCAATTGCACTTATAATGGAAATTCATTTTCAGTGTTTCGTGTATTCTTAGAGCAGGACTTCATCTGTAAATTACCTGCAATTTTCCTTTTGTACTAGGCTAACTCCTCAAATAACATAGTTTATTTTCAATTATAGTAATATAAATTAATAAATAACAATAACTGAATGATCACCATGGTCCAGTTAACAATATCATACCAATATGGCTTCTTGGTTTTGATATTGCATTAAAATTACATAAGCTGTTACCAGTGGAAGAAGCTGGGGGAAGGGTACATGGGACTCTTATGTACTGTTTTTGCAAGGTTCTGTGAATATATAATATTTTGAAACGAAAAGTTAAAACAATTAACAGTAAAGCAAACAGTATTATAGTATTAACAAATGTACACTTTGTAACAATAACATTTGGGTTACTGGCTCCACCACTTAAGACCTGTGTGACTTTGAGAGAATTCTTTGATCTCTCGAAGCCTCATATTATTCATCTCTAAAATGGTAGTCATAGATGAGTGGCAAAATTAGATAAAAAAATGTATCCAATGAATCTCACCTGGAAGCACTGCTAAAAATGTGATGAGCAGGCTGGGCGTGGTGGCTCACACCTATAATCCCAGCCCTTTGGGAGCTCGAAGCAGGCAGATCACGAGATCAGGAGTTTGAGACCAGCCTGGCCAACATGGTGAAACCGTGTCTCTACTAAAAATACAAAAATTAGCCGGGTGTGGTGGCAGGTGCCTGTAATCCCAGCTACTCGCGAGCCTGAGGCAGCAGAATTGCTTGAAACTGGGAGGCGGAGATTGCAGTGAGCCAAGAGCATACCACAGCACTCCAGCCTGGGTGACAGAGCAAGACTCTGTCTTGAAAAAAAAAAAATGTGATGAGCTATTTGTGGCACAAGTTAAAACCAACATTGACAAAAATCTGTGTTGAATTTCTTGTGTTTGTTTATCTCCACCACACACACTGGGCCTTAAGCAAAAGGTGTGTTTTAAGGTCCTTTACAGCCCTCTAAATCCCCTGCCCATTTGTGTCCCTATCCTATCATTTTGAAATGATTGCAGGTACTTTACTGACACCAGGAAGAGAAATTTAATCTTTCTTGGCTTCCTCCTAGCCATCTCAAAACTTCCCTACTGGGGTACTCAGTCTCACTTATCACAGGATCAAGACCCAGGCGTGTTGGCTAAATAGATGATCAGTCCAAGGCTCTTTGATATTGTAAATAATATTCCTTCATATGCCCTTTCACAATTAAAGCAGATAATCCATTCTAATTAAACAATCCATTGGATATCATCTTTTTCAATGAATGCAAGTACTGTTGCTTCATCATCCTAGAGAGATAAGGAGCAGTTTTTTTCCCTGTGATATTAGAACATAGCATAGCAAAACACCTTTTGGAAAAGGACATTAAAGCTTCCCATTTTTTTCATTTGTCTCTTATCTAGTATTGAGTATATCAGTGTATTCCTAATGAGCATCATTATAGACAGAATTATCTGCAAAGTTCTTTCTGAAACACATGGTCTAACAGAGGGGTCCCCACCCCACCATGGCATGTTAGGAACTGGGCCACACAGCAGGAGGTGAGCGGTGGGGGAGCAGGCATTACTGCCTGAGCTCCACCTTCTGTCCTATCAGTGTTACCATTAGATTCTCATAGAAGCGTCAACCCTATTGTGAACTGTGCATGTGACAAATGTAGGTTCCATGCTCCTTATGAGAATCTAACTAATGCCTGATGATCTGAGGTGGAACAATTTCATCTCAAAACCATCACCACCCACAAGCCTGTGAAAAAATTTTCTTCCAGGAAATCAGTCTCTGGTGCCAAAAAGGCTGAGGACTGCTGGTCTAACTTCTACCCTATGAATTACATTTTTAAAAACTTTAGGCCAGGCATGGTAACTCATGCCTGTGATCTCAGCATTTTGGGAGGCCAAGGTGAGAAAAGTGCTTGAGGCCAGGAGTTCGAGACCAGCCTGGTCAACATAGTAAGACCCCGTCACTACAAAATAAATAAATTAATTAATTAAAAAACAAGTTTATTCACTGATACAAATATGTATAATGTATTTAATTTTTATTTTTATAAGCATCATCTTTCTGGGAAGAATGAATCCCTTCTCTTCATAGCCATAATGTAATTTTATGCCTTTGTGTTGAATTTTCATGTCATAGCTTTTGTCTGATCAAATTCTCAATGAAGTGTTCACAATAAACCATTGACTAGTGGTTGAAAGTTGAAATTGATGTGGTTCCAAGATGCCTATGTTCTTGTCAGATATATGGAGATCAATTCTCAATGCATATTTTTGGTTTTGATTTCTATAAGAGTTCTATACACTTTGACAACCATTTTCCACAGTTATAACTGCAAATGATGTTGATGAACAAAAGGATGACTCCCACATGAACAAAAGAATGCTGATGACACATAATATACAACCTGATGAACATTTATGTTCTTATCAGAGGACTAATAGAAAAGCTGAGACTTCTGAAAATAAAATACTCGAGCATCAGTGGCTGCTACAGAAATCTTATACATTAACAAAGAAAAAACATTCCTTTTCTAATATGCCTTTGACAACAAAATCACATTTTCAAAATTATTCATAACTTTGACTTATTTTGAATGAAGCCGATCAAGTCACTAAAATGTTGAAATCTTGGGCAAAATCTAAATACACACTTTCCCACTTATTTCCTGAGTGATCTCAAATAAGTAATTTAGCACCTAATTTCACAATTTCATCTATAAAATGAGGGATATTTAAAAAGCTTGTCAGTTATTGTGTTGATAAAATGATGCCATGCGTCAAAACTGTCCCCTCTCACGTATAACAAAAGTGAAGCTACAATCCTTTTTTCCCCAAAATTGTATTATAACTGGCTACCTCCCAAATTGTTAAGAATACAGTTTCAGTGTCTTGTCTCCACCATGCCCTTCTTTGTCCTTAGAACTTAAGCACCTAAAGAATTCAAACATCACTTAGTAATATGCATTTAAGCTTCCTCCATGTCTTTTAATGGTTTCACATACTGTATAAAACCAACTATATGACATTCTAGAAGAGGCAAAACTGGAGACAGGAAAAAGATCAGTGGTTGCCAGGGCTGGAGGTAAAAGACATGATTAGGTGGAACACAGAGGATTTTTGGGGCAGTGAAGGTATTCAGTATGAAGCTATAATGATGGCTGCATGTCCTTACACATTTGTCAAAACCCATAGAATGTACAACACCAAGAATGAACCCTAATGTAAACTATTAAATGATGGTCAGGTGATAAAAAAATAGAATTCAAACATCAGACTCCTATGTAAAGCTATGTGGGTGTAGAGAGGGAGGATTCTGGTGCTATCAGCCATCTCTACTGATGTCCTTACTTGTCCCTGCCACAAGGGGTGCTCTTGTGTATGGTCTTCCACTAGTCAACCACGGTGACTTGTCTAGGCTACAATGATGTCTCTATAACCCAGACCCTGAGAAAATGTCTTGGAACATGAGAATTTGTTCTGCAGGTAATATCCTTTCATCAATGCTTCCTTTGATTTGGAGGCCCCTCATGATACTTTGTCAGTCACAGAGTTGTAGCCTCCTTGAGGTCCCCCTCCTCTAGTACAATGGTTTTATTTTCCCTGGGTGACTCCATAATATCTATATTTCTGAAACTAGAGAGACCATTTCAAGTGACTTTTTATTTTCTTTATTGTTTTTTTTTTCCTCTAGAAACATAAAGTGTTCTCTCCCTAGCAATAGAGTTTTCCAGCTTCCTTTAGAACCTGAACTCAGAAACAAAAAGGCCTATTTGGGTTGCATTAATTACAACTATCACAACTGTGACTTAATTTAAGAGGTCAAACTCAAATATCTTCCTGGAAAATAGCTGAATGGTCTCTAATATAACCCAATTTTAATTTAAAAGGAGAGACGTGTTTAAAATTCCAAGCACCACTACCCTTGCCTTCCTTTCTTATGGTTATTGATCATAATTTCGTGGGGAAAGATTTAGATGTAATATTTAATTTTATATGTCAACTTGGCTAGGAAGTAGTGCTCAGATATTTGACCAAATATTCTTCTAGAGGTTTCTCTGAAGATACATTTTGGATGGAATTAACATTTAAACCAGTGAAATTTGAGTAAAGCTGATTGCCTCCATAATGTGGGTGGGCCTCACCCAATCAGTTGAAGGCCCTAATAGGACCCAGACTTATCTCTCCTGAGCAAGAAAGAATTTTGCCAGCAGACTACTTTTAGACTCCAACCATAAATCTTCCCTATGTCTCCTGCTTTCCAGCCTATACCCATCAGATTTTGGACTTGGCCAACCTCCACCATCCTATAAGACAAGTAATCAAAATCTCAATCTCTCTCTCTCTCTCTCTTTGTCTCTCTCACTCTCTCTCTACACACACACACAAACACACACACACATAAATCAAATTAAGTCTTTACCTGGGCACACTGCTACATACTAACGTATATCTTATACCCCAAACACCTGGCCTAATATTCATCTTAATAAATATTATCACTTATAGAATGCAATTCAAACTCCACAATTAATATTTAATCTTTTCACAACCTAGTCTGATTTTATCTTTGCAAATTATTTTCCATTAACTGCCGTATTATAGGTAATATTTGGGCCTTGCCTTTTCACCCCTAAATAGTCTCCCAGGAGCCCTAGGATTTATTTTGAAACTCTACAGGTGTAGGGAATAGGCCAATAGGAAGAGATCAGCTTTAATCAGAGAAGCTCTAGTTTTCTTTCACCTGGATGCCACTGAGAACCTGTCTACACTGAACTGAAGTTCACAAAATAAACCTGTGTTCATGACTTTCTTTGCACTTTTACAAATCAAATTTTCTAATCTCTCATGCCCTAATTTAACCCAGTCTTTGAGTCTGAAGTATTTGTTGAGTGAATCATGTCTCACAGCCTCTCAGAATTCAAGTAAATTTGTTTACTCTAATTTTCACAAGTGTTATACTAATAAAAGAGGATTTTGCCTGTCTAGACTGACTACAGAGACCTAGGGAAATAGGCTTTATATACAAGAAGGAATGGGTTGTAGTTACTAATTGTATTTACAGTAAATATCCTTTGTATACCTCTACTTCCTCTTGCCGTACAGATACAGATAATAAGGCCAGCAAAGCTTTCCTTTGGGTAGTAATTATTGCCACATAAGATTTGGATGGGTAGTACTAAACTGTACGTTGCTTAGATATTTCAATATTTTCTTCTACTTTTTTTTTTTTTTGAGAGACAGAGTTTCACCAAGCCACCAAGACTGGAGTGCAGTGGCATGATCATAACTTACTGTGAGACAGCCAAGTATAAAAGGGTCCCCGGAGAACCACCAACCGCACTGGAAGGAGTGTGCACTAGGGTGGAGCCATGGAAGCTTGCCCTGTTTGCAGCGAGGAGGAGCCTGGCCTCTCCTATTCCTGGGTGGTAACCTGGTATTCAGTCTGTGAAGTGGGAAGCCTGCAAGCAGGACTCTCACTTTGCTGAGAGTCCCTGTTTCCCTTTTTTTCTTTTTCACCCAATAAACCCTGCCTTTCTCACCATTCAAAGTGTCTGCGAGGCTAATCTTTCATGCTCGTGTGATAACCCAGTTTTTCCTACAACTGCAACCTCGAACTCCTGGGCTCAAATATTCCTCCATTCTCACCCTCTCCAGGGAGTAGCTGGGACTGCAAGTGCATGCCTCCATATCTGGCTAATTTTTTTTTTTTTTGTACAGATGAGGTCTCGTGGTGTTGCCCAGGCTGGTCTCAAATGCCTGGCCTCAAGAGATCCTCCTGCCTCGGCCTCCCAAAGTCCTGGGATTATAAGTGACGCTATGCTCAGCTTTTTACATTTTGCAAATAATTTTTAACCTTACACTCTTTAGACTATTTTTAATTCTCATGTAGACAAACTGTATTATTAAATCCTTCATTATGTCCAAAGCTCCCATTATGTTGTAAGCGTTTATTTCTTCACTCTCAATTTCCACCTATTTGATATTTTTTGTTAGTGCTAAAGTAGCTGAAACTTTTCCTGAAGAAAATATAAAATATTTGAGTGCCTCACTAGGCCGCTAAATAGGGATCATCTGCATGCGTTTTTTTCTAAAATGATTCTTGTATATTGTGCAAATAACTAGATATTAAGGTTTATGTGTATAATACATTTTATATTATTTTTCAAAGTAGTATCAAAGAGTAGAGAGGCTGGTTTTTCAAAACAAAAATGCCTAATGGATCAGATCGTATATTTATATTATTAAAAATACTGGTCAGTGGTTGCATTTTCAGAGTCAAGAAAATGTGCATGGGTTGAAATGTACCTGGCAATGTACAGTTGAGGCTGATAATGAAATCCTTCCTTGTAAACTTGTACTTTATGTCAACTTTGGGGTGGGCAAAGATGGCAACTCTTATGTAAGACACCTGGCATTAGGGGCTGTGAAGGAGAGCAGTGATTCTAGTTTGTCACCTTATGACAATTTATTTTCTCAGTAAAAAATGAATAAACAAATAGCTTTTTGGGCCGTTGGTACATTGGTACTATTGTCTTCATCATCTAGTTGAAGAAAATAATGAAGGAAGCCATATTTCTTGAAACACAAACATAAGGTTGTAATGTTGAATATAAATTATGTATATGGTATTCTGTAGGGTAGTCTCCAGTGATATTTATTCCCATTTCATTTGCACATTAACTCTGCAAGAGATAATTATTACTGAAAGAGACAATTTTTATAGAGGTATCATAATGTACATTCATCGAGGTATTGTAATGGACCTTCATTGAGTAACAACTCTTTCCTTAGAAATGCTCCATTTGATTTATTAAAAACGCTAGCTGGTGTACAGTGATATACTATTTTACAAATGAGTAAATCAAGGCTCAGAGAAGTTAAGAAAACATTATTTATTCACACTGTCGTTTAATAAACATTACTGAGAAACTAAATTTAGTCTAGTGGTAAAGGGCATTGTGTTACAAAAATGAGCAGAAAGACAAGTTTCCAGATTTTGTGACATTTAGAGTCAAATGAGCGAAGCTGCTATTGATTAAGTAACCCTAAAATAAATGCATAATGAAAAGTTGATAAACATGTTATGCAGGTAAAGAATGCCATTCTGTGACAGCATATAACAAGGAAACTTTACTGAGCATAATGGGCTATGGGAAAGCTTTCTCCAAGAAAAGTGTCATTAAGAGGAGATGTAAAAAAAATAAAAAATAAAAAATAAAAACATTCTAGGATGGGTGCCAGGAAAATTTGGACAGTTCAAGCCATGCCACAATTTGCTATATGTCATTAGAGAATTATTCTGATTTTCCAAAAAACAAAATAACTAAACCAAACCAAACAAAACCAACTTTAATAGATCCCTAAAATCCACTTCAGTTCTAATAGATAAAGAAAGTGCAACTCTAAAATAGTACAAGGACTAATATAAAGCCATTAAAATTCAAGTTATAAGCCAAGATTCTTTTTTCCCCTTAGTATGAGAGAACAGATAAGGACCACGCCTCTGTCCCCATTTAAAACCACTGATCAGAGACAAATCCTGTGATTTCACTCTTGCACTTTTTGATTTTTTATTCATGTATTCTTTTTGGGGGCACTGAGAATTTATAGCCCATTTCATTCTTGGTAAGTAAATATCCCACACTTTGGTATGAAATCTGGAACAAAGGAGATACAAGTTGACATTTTGATAATAGTCAATATTTTTACAATGCAAGTTAAGGCAGCTCCTCAAAACACTCTGTGTCCTAAAAATCTTTTAGATTAAAATGTCAGCTCAATTGTTTCATTTTGTCTAAGCAAAACCGCTCCAAAGGTGTAGGACAACAGAATGGTCTACCTGGGACTAGCTGTAAAAAGACAGCAGGAAATATAGGTGGTCAGAAAGAGTAAAAGTAAGGTATTCCCCACTGTTATCACCTTCAGTATGCCCCCCGGGGCTAACCCCTCTTTAGGTTCTGACCTGAATTCACCTGGAGAAAGTCCTTGTGTAAACAAAAGATGTCTCTAATCCTAGTATGGCAACAGAGATATGTCTTTGGGTAAGATCCAGGAGGTAGTGAAATAAGGAATCGTAAATCCCGTGGTTGCTTATGCCTGCTAACAGAAAAATACGGGGGCCTCTGAGTGTTGCAACTGTTTCATCTGTTCTCTTTATGTGTAACTGATGTAAGAAATTAGTGATTGCCAGAAGTCACTTGGTTTGCAATTACAGTGTTTAATGATATTAGCATAAACTAGGAAAATGAGCTATTCTGTTCTAGAATAGAAAGGACAGATGAAGATGAAATCAACTTTTGAGATGCTATATCACTTATGACATCCTTTCTCATTACCTAAAGCAAAGGAATGTTCTCACTTTACTTTCAGAGCAGATGGAAAATCCCTGAGACCTGCTGACACAAGACAAAAGGAGCTTTCATAAAAGCCCCTGAATTCTCACAACGGGTCATTGCAATGGTTTTATTTGTCTCATATAGGTCAAGTAAGTAGGTAAAATAGAGATTAAAGTCACAAAGCTAGTCCTACTACAAATTAACCTCTGTCGCTAAGTACATGTTGTATGTCAAAATGAGGTGGTATGATATTGATCTTTGTTTTTAGTCTGAATGTGGCAGATCACAGCACCGGTAGTCCTGACTTTCACTAAATCTTCCAACCAGCAGGAGAATATTCACATTAACCAAGTGCAGTTGGATAAATAATTTCAGGAAAACGAGGGTCAAAAAAGCATCTGTGGAATGGGCTTGTTAATCTCCGCCCTGAATAATACACAAAATGATGGTATGATCAGAAGACATACAGGCTGTTAATGGTCAGTGAACCAAGCACCAGACAAATATAAGTGGTCAAAAAATAGTGTCACTATTAAAGTACAAATAAAATGCATAGCTTTCTTTTAGTCAACAATGGAAGAAAAACAAAAATTCAGACACACAACTGTTTAAATGTTTTGTCTGTGGGGGGCAGTAGATTTTAGCAGAAAATGTATACATTCTAGAGAAAGATAGCTATGAATTTGTATGTCCAATCTGTTACTTACTAATTGTATGACATAATTAAGCCCCTTAACTTCTCAAAATCTAAATTCCTAATAGAGGCTGGGCACAGAGGCACACATCTGTAATCCCAGAGCTTTGCGAGGCCAAGGAGGGAGGATCCCTTGAGCTCAGGAATTTGAGACCAGACTGGGCAACATGATGAAACCCCATTCCCACAAAAAAAAAAAAAAAAAAAAAAATTAGCTGGGCTTGGTGGTGCACACCTGCATTCCCAGCTACTTGGGAGGCTGAAGTGGGAGGATTGCTTAAGCCAAGGGGTGGCTGAGGCTGCAATGAGCTGAGATTGCTCCACTGCACTCTAGCTTGGGTGGTAGAGTGAGAACCTGTACCCCAAAAATAAGATAAAATAAATAATTTTCTAATGGAAAACTAGAAATAATTACAATTGTCTTATTATGCCACAGTGGACAATTTTATGTATTAATGAATATGAAGTTCTTAGTATGTAATAGGTAATAAATGAATTCTAATCTATCTATTTAAACTTCTGAAATTGTTTATTTTCGAAGAATTTACTATTTGAAGGGTCACTGAAAATCTAATAAAAAAACTTTATTATAAAATTGTAGACAAATACAATTTACCATTCATTTCTGAATGTTCATAGATGACTTCTAATCCACTAATGGCCCATACGTTGGCAATAGATCCCTGGCTTAGACAGAGCTGATATACAAAAGGAAGGCCAAGGGCAAGTACAGTGTTTAGACATAGTGTTCTGAAAATTCTTCAGGCACATCAAGCAAAAATATACAGAATATCTTTTATTAAAACACTCAATAAAACGTATTTCTTAGAGTTGAGTTGTATAGCAATTAACACTTTTTTCCTAAAGTCAACTACTAGAATAATATAAGATGATAACAGAAAAACCAGATGTGCATATTTGCAACAAAACATTTGATTCTTCTGCACTTAATATTAATGTTATGAAAGGTACTGCTTATTGCCTTATATTCTCAAATTTAACAATACCCCTGCTGCTGAATGCACAGAGCATCTGCAAGTGGTAGAGAAATTTGGGACCACAAAATCAGCCACTTGAGAACTTCCAATATTTGAACTCCTCAGGTAATATAAGGTGTTCTGTTGATTCTTTTAAGTACATTTTCCTCTGAAACTTCTAGATATTAAAAATATATTTTATTGCAGAACTTCCTTATCTAGTTCACTTAGCAATATGAAAACTCCTTCAGTCATTGTTTTCTTTTGAGTTATGGAGACAAAATATTGGGGAACAAAACAAAGTCATCTTTATATAAAACCTAGTTTCACATGTATTATAATAAATAATTATAATATTAACAGCTATAATTACTGCAATTTTGCTACAAGCAGTAACTTAGCAATTTATATAGGATTTTTTTAAACAATCCTTTTCAATAAAATGTTTCCAAATAAATATGTATCTTAAAGTATTAAACTTATTTTTTCAGAGTATCTGTTTCTAACAGAGCCTTGATACTGCCAATAATCTCATAAACTTAGGGGTACATTTTTACATATGCCTCTAGTTAAATGGTAGAGCAAAAACAACTACAAGAAAGTCATTGGGAAAGCAAGGCATGAGTTACTTTTTGATTAGTTAAATTGGAATCATGTAGATTAAATACAGAGGGAAATATGCAGTGTGAGTCAATGATATACAATTAAACACCCCTTGTCTTTACTCAGAAGGAAAATAAACACTGAAATAATTTTACCGTCAAAGATCCACTTCTTTGGTCAAATTGGGTGACAGATTGACAGAAGACAAAGTGTGCATGAGCCTGTTGAATCTCTAGTGTTGGTAGCATCTAGAGACTTAGCTGCATATAGAATTGCATTTGGAGCCCACAGGCACTTTGAAAAATAGGAGTCTTTTGAGCACAGTCATTTCTAAATATGTGCTTTTTTACAATAAAGGTGTCATGCTGCAAAGGATCACTAAATGGAAAAAGCCAGTATGCTTTAGAGCACCCAGTTTTTTAATAAGAAATAGTTTTCCCCTGAATCTTTCATCACCCTTGCTGTGTAAGGTAGATTTTCCTCTGCATTGATATTTTAAGTTAGTCACGAGACCAGTCTGTTTGAGAGTGCAGAACCATTTGTGGATGGGAGCTGAGTATTCTTTCCTATGGCATGCATATGCTTTCAGCAGGTGTGGTTACAGACAGTGTGTGTTAAAAGAAATACAAAAAATCAAAGGCATGTGCTCCGCTTCCATCCCTGTATAGGGGCTTGAAAATATGACGTCTCAGAATATGTTAGATGTGGGACTAACAGATGGGAGCTCTGGTTACCGTGTCTTCCCTTTCTGTTTGTCTTTTTTTTTTTTTTTTAATTCTGCAGCTTCAGCTTTTTTTTCCAACATTTTTCAAACATCAATATTTACTTTTTGTAAATGGTGCATATATCGAATGCCCACTGTATGTCAGGCACTTTGCTAAGAACCATGGATTTGTAGATGTTTAAGAGAAAATTTCTGCCTACAAGGAATTTACAGTCTTGTGTTGGAGGACTTGAAAACAGATGATCAGAGAGCAGGATGGTAATAGCGCTGATAGAGGCGTGAAAATTGCAGGGTAAACTCAAGAAGGGGGATAGATAACCCAGCTAGGGAGAGAATAGAGTTTTGGAAGACTTATCCGTGGAAGTGAATTGTAAAATGCCAGGCTTTCTCTGGAGATTCCCCTGAAAGAGCCAACAGTAGTCTCCACTCTGGAAAAAATGTATTTTCACTCTGACACTCTACCATCATCCTATAAATAATTATAATGGCCATTGCACAATAAACCCAGTAAATGCCAAGTTGATGGCAGCTTGTCTAATGACTAGCGCATAATAAGTGATACGGAACTCATCCTTTGGCGGAATAGGGAAGGTTAAGAAAAGAATCCTGGAAGAGATTACATCTGAGTTAAATGCTGAAAAAACAGGAGTTGGCCAGAGATGGAGAAAAAGAAATTCTTTCCACTAAGAGGCTTGAGAGAACTGGGCATGTTTTTGTGTCTTTCCTTCCAGAAAGTGTGTCCAAAGTTCTGTTTCTCTTAGGGGAATGTTAATTCTGATTTGTTAGGGTTTGCTAATAAGGGTCAAGACTGGAACATGTCTCAAGGAAAACACCAATTTTTTTAAAGAAAAATGAAGGTACAAAACAGGAAAGATTCAATGGGATGATAACTTCCTTTGGGAAAAGAGGAATTAGGACATGATTTCCATCCTTACTACAATGACAGCAGGAGTTTTCTATAGCTCACAGGGTCTTCAGAAGGAATTAATGATGTAAACTTTTCATCCCCCTGCCTAGGAACTAGTTAGAACCTAATAGAAATATTTCCCTCTCTCCCAAACATGCTCTTTCAGCTAATATGATCTGAAGACAGTTAATGTGTCTGTAAACATCCTGAAAATAAGTACAGTTTTTGTAAAAGAAATATATGGAATAGAAAAGAAAGATGCCTGGTGTCATATGTTAGTTTCATTCTCTTTATGGCCCTAAAACCTGACTCATAACAGTCAAGCAAACAAATGGATTTCTTGACTCCTGCCTAACTTTCATGTACATAATACATAAATAATGCAAAAGGGTGACTTCTAGGCTGGTTTGATTTCTCTTTCACTCATTTCCCAGTGCCTTCTCAGAATTCTAAAAGCATTATCTTTGCTTTATGAAAATAAAACCATGTTTAATTGAGTTTTCAACACAGATAAAAGCTTATCTGTATAATTGAATTTTCAAGGTTGGTAGAAGCTTATCTGTTTTAAAAGCTGGAACCCATATAGTGCTTAATATATCTGGTCACTATTCTAATGCATTATTTTAATCATTAGTATAAGTCCATGAGTTCAGTTTTATTATTGTTCCCATTTTAAAGAGGAGTCATAACAAATAAGTTAGTAAGATCATGCATCAAGTAAGAAGTGTAGCCTGGACTTGAACCCAGGCAGTAATGCGTGAGCATCTGTGCCTCTAGCCACTATTCTAAAGAAAGAAACACATGGTAGGAGAATCAACAGAATGAATCTTTACAATGTCTCTACTCTATGAATTCACACGATTAAGGTAAGGTTCTTAAAAAGCTGTCTAGCACTGCCTATGCATACCTTCTGTAAAAGTAAAAGAGGAGTGTGAGTATGTTGATGTGTGGGTGAAGGTGTTTGACCGTGCAGATCCACTAAAGGTAAAAACAAAGCAAACACCTATCTGGCATTACCTTTGTTATCTCATTTGATTCCCACCACACATCTACGATGTAGACATCATTATTCCCAGCATGGAGGAGAAGAAATTGAACTCAGTGTGGACAGGTTGATTTTTACCAAGTGAAAGAATTAGTATGTGATAGAGCCAGGATTAAGTATAGGTTTGTCTACAGAGAAGAAGAAACAGTAGTATGAAAGCATTGAACAAAAAACCCCAACAGATTTGCTGGAAATAGATGTAGATTCAGGGATGGTTTTCCTGAAGAAAGAGTGCTTGCACTGAGATCTAAAGAATGAGTAAAATTAATCCAGAATGGGGAGTTTCAGGCGGAGAGAAGAACATGAGCAGAGTCTGGATTGCATGAGGACTAGTGCCAAGGCCAGTATTCCCCAGCACAGAGAAGAAGTAGCAGTTTCCTGCAAGATGAGGAGAGGTATTCCCCATTCAGGATCTTGTAGGAGATGACAAAGGTGTCAATCTGCATACTAAGAGGAAAGGGCAACCTCAGCGTGGTTCTAAAGAATGTCATGAGCAGCGAGGGCGAGGGCTGAGAGGAACAGCTATGCAATTACATGAGCCAATTTCCGTTTCCGAAAGCTGATTTTTACAGATTTATGTAGACCAGTTCGGGAGCTTGTAATAATGTCGCCAAGAGATGGTGAAGACTTAGAATAGGGCAATGTCAGGGGTGATGCAAATGGATACATTTGAGAACTATTAACGTGCTAAAAATCAGGTGAACTTTTACTGAAAGACTGCATGAGTAGTTAGAGAGAATGATGGATGCAGCCTTGAATTCTGATTGGGGGGACCTCAGCATCCCTCATTAAGAGAAGAAGAATGGATTAGAACTGCTCACCTGGCAGGAAGTGTGGATGGGGGGATTCCAAAGGGATTCAAGCAATGCACATTTACTCACATCCAAACATTTGTGACTCTACTATTGAAACATAAGAGTTCTTCATATTCCTGGGGCATATGCCTGTTTTGTAATGGTATTCTGAATAATACTTGAACTATTTTTGCAAAGAATGCACAATTTCTTTTTTAAACTTTTTTTTTTATGTTCAGGGGTACATGTGCAGGTTTGTTAGATAGGTAAACTCATGTCATGGGGGTTTGTTGTACAGGTTATTTTATCACCCAGGTACTAAGCCTAGTACACATTAATTGTTTTTCTGATCCTCTCTCTCCTCCCACCTTCCACCTTTTGATAGGCCTCAGTGTTATATATCCATGTGTTCTCATCATTTAGCTCCCACTTGTGAGTAAGAACATACGGTATTTGGTTTTCCGTTCCTGCATTAGTTTGCTAAGGCCTCCAGCTTCCTCCATCTTCCTGCAAAGAACATGATCTTATTCATTTTCATGGCTGCATCATATTCCATTGTGTATATGTACCACATTTTCTTTATCCAGTCTACTATCGATAGACATTTAGGTTGATTCCATGTCTTTGCTATTGTGAATAGTAAGGATGCATAATTTCTATTTAGACAATGTCTTCCCTATGTCCCTCTCTTTGGTTCTAGTTTACTATTCAATCAATTAGCCTCAGAAAAAATATATCAGCAAATATGAGCAATTAATCAAATAAATAGAAATTATATTATTTATATCAAATAGATATTATAGATGTTATATTATATATTGCATATAATATCTATTGCATAATATATATGTTTAAACTTTTTTCATTAAGATCATAAACACTAGGAGATGTTCATTAACACTGGGAAAATTGGCATTAGATGACTAATTTTACATTGGGCACTGTAATGACAGTACTTAGAAGATTTAGGTGGCAGAATGGTTTAGTCAAAATTATGTGGACTTTCTAAATAATAATAGGTCAAGCCAAATTCCAGGATTTAGTCTATGTTTTCTTGAGAAAGTTATTAAGTCTTTCTGATGATCTATTCCTCATTTCAAAAATTGAGGTCATATAACCTATCTTACAGTTTTGAACAGATGATAAAATAGGTAATACACATTTAAATGCCAGGTATCAGGAGACACTCAAAAAGTGCTGATATCCAACTCACTGTAGCAAATATAAACATAAGTGATACAAAACCACTTGACTTTTCAATGAACTAATGAAAAGGGTCATTTTAGGACACACATAAAATGAAAGATCTCTGATCTGGGAGTCAGGAATCCTGAATTTGAATTTTGGCTGTTAGCTGTTATGCATCCTCACTGAGCAAAAATCACAGGCACAAGACTTTTGTGCCTGGGCCAGTTAAGAGCCAGCATTTCCAAATACCGTGTGTGATCCTGAGCAAGTTGCTTGAACAGCACAGATCTCAGGTTGTAAAACAAATCAGTAGGCCAGGACTGCAGTGGTCTTATGCCTGCAATTCCAGCACTTTGGGAGCCCGAGGCAGGCAGATCACTTGAAGTCAGGAGTTTGAGACCAGCCTGGCCAACATGGCAAAACCCTGTCTCTGCCAAAAAAAAAAAAAAAAAATTAGCCGGTGTGGTGGCGCATGCCTGTAGTCTCAGCTACTCAAGAGGCTGAGGCAGGAGAATTGCTTGAACCTGAGAGGCAGAGGTTTCAGTGAGCCGAGATTGCGCCACTGCGCTCCAGCCTGGGCGACAGAGTGAGACCCTGTCTCAAAATAATAATAATAATAATAATAATAATAATAATAATAATAATAAAAGATTAATGACCACAATTATCTTGAAATGTCCTTCTAGGTCTGAAATGGTATGATTACTAACACCTAATGTTTAAAAATATTTAATAATGGATCTTGCCTTATTTTTTTCCTGAAAATTGATTTTAAGATGGTAAATAATGAAAGTAGTTGAGAGGAAGTATGAGAAAAGTCAGCTCCTCCAGTTTCAATTGTCATTTGAATCCTAAGTCAGAGACAGATTTTTCATGAGAAAGAGTTAACTTGGAAGAGCGTGTGGTATGTGTGCATCTTTAAAAAAACCAGATCTTTCCTATTCTCAATGAAAAAAACATGTACGTCCAGTCGATGGCTGTCAGCTACTGTCAGGCGATTTGTTTATGGCTCATTGTCCCTTTTACCTTTGTAGCATCATGCATTTTAATTAGGAGTGCTTACAAACCTAGTGACCTCTCTACCTGCCACATGGAAATGAATTTTAGCATGTTGCAGAAAACAGTTATCCTAGGTGAAAAGAGCCAAACATCTCAGAAAATTGACTGATATACATAAAATGAGTTAAAAAACCCAGGGGATTAAAATGAAAGAACCAATTTGCATTGAGCCAATATAATAGATATCCCAAGGTCAGTGGCTCAATTTCCATATGCAATATTGATTAAAGTCACCATTGTTACCGTTTAAGAGTCTTCCTGTGTGCCTGCTATAATGCACTCATGTTATGTTACAAATGTGGACATTTAGATTTCAAGAGGTAATGATATCTCACCTAAAAAACAAACAAACAAACAAAAAAATAAAATAATCCAAGTCCCACTATAACTTTACTTGATGAAGTTTACTCTTCAACAAATTGTACATTGAGTTCTATTCGGGGGGCCACACCATCTATTTGAGGAGGAAAATCTCTCTGAATGCAATTAAAAAAAGAAATAAACTAAGGGAGAAAGGGAAAAACAGAGTGATACAAAAAAGAGATAGAACCTAAAGAAAAATAGTTCTGCTAAAATAGTTGAACAAAAGAAAGAAAGAAAGAGAAAAAAAAGAAAGGGAAAGAAGCAGGAAAGCAAGGAAGGAAAGAAGACGAAACAAAGCACAAATTAAACTATTTGCAGAAAAGCCGTGAGCCAAAATGAGAGTATCAGAAATGGGATTTTTGTGTGACAATGCAGAATGGAAAAGAAGGAGCAAAGGGATTTGCTTGTATGCATGTTAAAATCTAACTCTTTCCCTTAAGGAGTGCGTATTAGTGTCTCTTTTGATCAGTAAGTCAATGTTTCAACTGTGTTATCACTGTCTTCCTTGTGGCTTTTAATAATCATTCTTGAAATAGAAGTGTCTTTGCAGACATATTGGGAGATGCTCTTCTCACTTGACTGATTATTTAATCCACCCTGAAGCTGTCTGTCTGTCTGCAGGACAAGGAGTTCACGCAGATTGAAAGCCAGGAAAAGCCAAGAATGGGGCTGACATCTTAGAGCAAATTAACTTACATAATGGCCCTGTCAATCCACTCTCTCTTCACTTTCCATTGTCTTGGTTTATACTAAATTTGATCAGCGTCTCTTCGGGTTTGCTTTTTTCCCCACCCATCAGTTGGTTATCTCTGTTATTCCAGTTTCGCTGAACTCCTACTAAGTGCTAGGCTTATATGAGTGCCACAAGGAATATAAGGAGCATTTTTACCCCAAAAAGAAGTAGACAGGTAAGGTCATGCAAACAGGTGGCTGTGACTGCAACAGCTAAGGAGGCAGACTAGGGAACAAATGAGAAGGATTTTCTGAATGTTGTAGACCTGTGATACATTAGGTCTGAGGGGGTAATTCCCCATGAATTGAGGAAATCAGGACGTTTTCATGGAGGACGTGAATTAGCAGGATTCCTAATGATGAGACCAATGAAGTTGGCCATTTCAAGCTGAAGGAAGCATGCAAGCTTATTTGGCAAAGGAAGTTAATCTAATTGTCAAATTCTGAATGATTTTTGGTGGCTGTCTTAAGTGCTGCCCTGAGATAAATCTTAAAAATGCTTCCATACTAAGTCACAATCAATTAGAAGGGTCTGCTCTGGTTACAGCATGGCAAGAGGTATCTGCAATAACTGCCATAGACAAAAAAATTTAAAGAAAAATCTAGTAAACCAAAGCACTAAGTTCAGAGTGAGTGGAGAGAAAGTTTCACACAGAGGTTATGAGAGATTGGTTAGTAAAAGGAAGTTGGAGGCAGATTATAAAGGCTGTGGACATCAGGCTGAGGAAATTATACACTGTGAGGAAATTATCCACTCATATCTTCTCTATTCACTATACTATGTGTGAAAATCTAGTGGGACAAACTTTGTTTGACTTAAGCTATAGGTATACCATCCACACAATTTAAACTCTGTCAGTCACTTATCATTTCCCATATGTTCACAATCCTTCAAGACATTTTATTTTCTTTATTGCATATTGCCTTGTGTGTAGTTAATACTTCGTTAAAATCATAGATGCTCCCTGTTTTCCCAGATCGCTTGCTAGGTGTGACAGGACAGATAACAGACATCTGGAAAATACTGCAGAGTGCTCTAAGTGCAGTAGTCATGGTGGAGAGTTTGTGGATGGGCAGAGATTGCAAATAATTCTTATAGCAGTTGTCTCATCAGCTGACTGGACCTTGGAGGTCAAGCAAGATGTCCATATGCATAAACTGCAAGGGAAAGTAAACAAGAAATTCTAGGTTAAAGCAATGAGCAACGATGATGGAGGAAGGCAAGAGCAATGGGCACTGTTGCATGTCTGCCTGGCAATACCTGGAGTCTCATGTTGCAGTGGAGTCGTATACTTCAAATTGTAGACAGAATCTACTGATGCCTCTGACTCCCATCACCCTGGTGCACTTGCTAAATGTGCATGAGCTGTTTGCCAAGCACTAAAGAAGGCTGTGTTAAAACACTATAAAGATAACAATAATTTATACAATTCAGAGTGCCTGTTCTGGAGGTACAAACGATATCATAGGCACAGAGATAGCAAGTCCAAAATGTGCATTCACATAAAAAGCATGTTCTTATAATGCTTCAGCTTAGTTCAGGCCCTCCTATTTTCCCACCTGGACTACTGCAGTATAACGTAATTGTTAAAAGTAAGATTTCTGAAGGCACTCTAACTGTGTGATCATGAGCAGGTTACCTAACTTCCCTTTAGCTCACACTTCTGATCTACAAAAGACAATAAGAATACCTGTATCATAAGTACCTGTATCCTAAGGTATTCTTATTATAGGTATAGGTATGAGGTACCTATGTATGTGTAGTCAATGGCTTAAAGCACTTATAAAAGTTCTATTTTATGTTTGCTGTTTTTTGTTAGTATTGCAATTACCTCTTAAATCGTATTCCTGCCTTCCATTGTCCCTTATAACATCTACACTTCACCCAACCTCTAGGGCTATATATTTTTAACAGCTATCACGGAGGTGATATATATATACACCTCCTGGATATTTTTCAACACGAAAGAGGCCTGGTAGACTAATGTCCAAGTTTCTCAGCCTGGAAGATGAGAACCTCATGAGTTGGCTAATTTAACTTTCTTGGCACGTGATCTTCCAACTTCTTATACTCTCCCATGTATTCTACACTCCAGCCACACCCGACTATGTGTCAGAGAAGTTAAATGACACAAGGTTAGAAGGTTACAAGGTTATTCAGAGAGGTATTTCCAAGGATCTTCTCGGACTCCTATGCCTTCGCTGTTACCATCAATCCATTCTGTACAGGACTTGAGAGCTGCTGTTGAACCAAGATCATGTGTTCACAATGTCTGTCTCTGCCACTTGACTGAGATTTTGAGGGCATCTTGTCTCATTCATTTCCCAATTAGCTGCACCTGATACTAAGTAGAAACCAAAATGAGATTTAATACATACTTGATAAAAGTGAGTAGTCAGGTAGATGTAGTCATAGATACACTATCTATACATTAATAAGACACTGAACTTCTAGTGGGTTAATCAAACAAATAAACACTATTACTACCAAGTATTCATATAATGCTTTTGCTTATAAGGAGAAATGTTCATGGTGAAATTTTCAAAGAGAATGGCAAGCCAGACAAGTATGTCTGCTGATGAGGGAGATTTTGGCTCCCGCACATATAACGTGGTACCCACTCTCTCTGTCTATGTGTAATATCGTTATGGAAGATGACAGATACAATATGTCTTAGTTTAGTGTTGCTACAAAGGAATATATCTGAGGCTGGGCAATTTATAGAGGAAAAAGGTTTATCTGGCTCAAATTCTGACAGCTGGAAAGTTCGAGATTGGGCATCTGCATCTGGTGAGAGCCTCAGGCTGCATCCACTTATAGTAAAAGTGATAGAGGAGATAGAAAGAAATTATTTAGGCAGATAGTGAAGGTAAAGAAGTCCTCAGCAGAGCTTCCCTTCTAACAAAAACAGCCACCAAAATAATTTCTTTTCTAACAAAGAGCAGCCTGAAAAACTGAGCTGCAAACAAATAAGGAAGCCAGAAGCTTGCATGGGGGAATGCCGGCAGCGGCGCCAATAGAAAAGGGTTACCTGGGGGCCTGGTATGTCCAACATGGAGGCTCCATCTTCCTTTTTTTTTGTTACCACATGTACAGTAATAAAGAAATGGGCAACATGGCACAGCTCAGGCAGAGAACCTGCCTGTATAAACGATTAGGGTGGGATTACCAGAGATTCACACCGTAGGCATATGACACACCTGGTCCAACCAGTTTTTTACACCTTATGTAGATCAGACACCACCTCCTCACCAGCTCATTTATAAAACCCCCTGCATTTCACCATGGACCTGGCAACCCATTTTTCTGGGACCCTTCTCTGCAGGGAGCTATTCTCTTTCTTTCCCCTGCTAAACTTCTGCTCTTTTTTTGTTTGTTTGTTTGTTTGAGGTGGAGTCTCACTCTGTCGCCCAGGCTGGAGTGCAGTGGTGCATCTCCAGTCACTGCAAGCTCCACTTCCTGGGTACATGCCATTCTCCTGCCTCAGCCTCCTGCATAGCTGGGATTACACGTCCCTGCCACCACACCTGGCTAACTTTTTGTATTTTTTTTTAGTAAAGACGGGGTTTCACCATGTTAGCCAGGATGGTCTCAATCTCCTGACCTCATGATCCACCCGCCTCAGCCTCCCAAAGTGCTGGGATTACAGGCGTGAGCCACCGTGCCCGGCCTAAACTTGCACTCTTAACCTCACTCTTTGTGTGTCCACGTCCTTGTTCTCCATGGCCTTGAGACAACAAACCTTGGGTGTTACTCCAGGCAATGAGACTGCTTCAAAAGGTGAAGGGGAGGTGAGGAGCTGATGTGTGCAGGGATCACATGGCAAGAGAGGAAACAAGAGACAGTGGGGAGCTGCCAGGCTCTTTTTATCAACCCGCAGTAGTAGGGGAACAAACAGAGAGAGAACTCACCCTGGAAGAAGTGTTAATCTATTCATGAGGGATGCATCTCCAGGACCTAAACACCCCCCACTGGGCTACACCTCCAACACCGGGGATCAGATTTCAACCAAACATCCAAACCACAGCACAACATTAGACCCAAAATTTCTGACAAACAGGAAAAATTTTTCTTTCTTGCTTTTGACTTCACCTGTTAACATAAATGACTGTAACATTGTGTGTGTGTGTATGTGTGTGCGTGTATTTAGGGTTAGCAGTTTTGCCACATAGATTTCATATTATTGGAATTTTCCTAAAATCCAGTGAGAGAGGTGAGACAAGGGTAATTTCTTCCCGATTACTGATGAAGAACCCCAGGTTCAGAGAGTTAAATGCAATCTTTTACTGAGAGTTAGCGGAGGTGTGACCACAGAAAAAGGAAAAAGGAGAGGTGAAAGCACTGTATACATATAAAAGTGACATTGACAAAAGACTGCTGTAATAAATTAGCATTCCCATCTTGACTGATCCAACCAGCAGGAACAAATTCACAGGGCAAGTAGAAAGGAAAATGGGGAGGGTTCTGTTACAATTTGTCAAATAGTGACTACCAGAAACTCATCTCTAAAAGAGAAACAAATCAAAGCGAAAAAAGAACAATTGCTATTTTACTTTTTAAAAGTCCTATCTCTAGCGACAGGACCCAGAATACATCCTAGATTTTCTGACTCCAAACTGGTACATTTCCAAAATTGTATATTTCACATCTGGCAATGATAAAAGATGTGCATCGTTTACAATTGTGAATATCCCCACAGAAGCACCCCAAATTCCAAGGCCCTGAATACATCATGCAAAACCAATGATCAAAAAGGGACCCAGTGTTTAGTACTGTGTGCGTAGCACCCTCCACACCCTCTCTCTGTTCACTTTTCTTTGTAAAGTGTTTTTTTTTTTCCTTACTCAGTACAGTGTTAGTAATTCAAACAAAAGAAAAACATAAATGATTCTTCAGTATTAAGTCTTGGGGGATTTAAGCGATTTATATTCTCTTTCTTCGGCAATATTTGCTATAAAGCTACTGAAGGTACTATTTAGAGAAAGTAGATATTTTGTCACAAAATCACCTTCTAATCCTCAGAGCATTTCCTTGATATCTATCAGCTGTTCATAAAGACATTCACACTTTATGAGCAATATTTTGACTTCCCTTTGCAATGGCAAGGAGAAAAAATAAAAATAAACTTTTATTGAAGAGGACCACAATGTCTCCCCAAATGAAATTGGGTGATAAACCAAATAAAATAGTCACAAAACTTGGAAGTAGGTTTTAGTTTGTTTTCACATACTCTGCTTCAAATGTGTACACTGGGAAGATTTATTTGATTTATTTTAACTCAGCCTTCTGTGAAAAAAAGAAACTACAGCAGAATTCCCATTAACCTATGTCCAGGATGTTAAGTGAAGATGATGATTATTGTTTTGAAATATTGTTGGTGGGGAGGAAGGCAGGCAGAGATACAATATTATAATTCTGTTTGTATCTGAATGGTAGCTGAAGACTAAAACCATTTCTGCAATGTCCACTGGAATAGGTTATACTGTTCCAATTCTTTGTAACTTCTAGACCTAACATTTATATTTTTGGAGATGATTTTACAGGAAATGAAAGTAATATGAAACATTCAATATTGAATGAAACTTTAAGCTCAGGAATACTACTTTAAATGTGTATACTTCCCAGTTTAAGTGGACAATTTACTTGATAATGTTATTTTGAAAGGACTTTTTTAAATATAACTATTTCTCCCCAAGCTACAGTCATATATACAGTGCTGTCTTTTTTTGTCTGTGCACCATCTGTGTGATAAAATATTTTAATCAACTTATTTCTCTAAAAACATAAAATAAACATTTGTTTTGAAAGAAAACTTTATATTCATGCCTAAAAACAAGAAAATTATTTTTACTTGCCATAAATACAAGGTAAACTTAGAAATGAATTGAATGAATGCAAAACAATGTTCTTCAATTCTAACAAGGTACTTGGAGTCCGCTTAAGGCTCTGAACCTGAGGCCAGCATTGGCCTTGTTAGAGAGATCAGCACTGGCAGGGAACTGAAATGTTCTCTCTTGACAAAAATCAGAGGGTTGAAGGAAAATTGGAAAGAAAGTAACTTTCCCACCTATTTATTTTCCACATCTCTGTCCCATCAGAAATCGCCATGGGGACTCACTACCTGCAGCATGACAAATGCTGAGGTCTTCTAAAAAGTTTGGTCTGAAGGGAAAACACAGGTAGAAATCCTACACTCGCCGCCTACCACGTGTGTGATTTAGGGAAGTCAATATCTCTTTCTGAGTCTTACATCCTTCATCTAAAAAATGGAATTAATAACATCTGTATCTCCTAACAATTGAGTAGATTAAATAGAACAGCATTCTGAAAAACTCAAACATATAGTGGTTGCTCAACTAATTCTAGTTACCATCACCCCCAAACACATTTTCTTTTGGTTTTATCTACTCTACAAACATGAAGACAGCATCGGTTCCAAGCCTCTATCCTCAGCCATTGTTTTACATCTTCTTCCTCCACATGATAATCGTATCTTGTGTAATTCATTCAGTCCTCCATTTTGCTAGAAACTTCTGAGGCTTTTTTGTTTATGAGGAAGAAGATCACATCCAATATTCTGACAGTCTCCCCAAATATATCTGCCTGTTTCCTTGAGAATGCTACTGACAAAATAATGAATAAATAATAGATAGATAAAGCTAATCATAATCAAATCCAGGTTAGCTACCTCTGGGTAGGGGTAAATGGAAAGATTTTGAAAGCAAAAAGATTCTGTAAATGAGACTTTGAAACCATACCATTTGTGTATAAGATCATGGGGGAAAAAATAAGTTCCTCTTCTTAAGACAAAAACAGCTTTAAAGTCCCATTAGACTTTTTAAAAAAGGCTTCTTGAACATCAAATATCTTTTGCAAAACACTTCATTGATTTAAGTGTAAATTAATCAGAAATGCATGGATCCTATTTCCCTTAAAATACACATGGATTTTTACATCCAGATGCAAAAAGCTTTTCCTGTTTTCCATCACTTCAAAATTTAAAAGAGTGCTTTAGGTGCTCAAGACTGACTCAAAAGTGTTAAGCCTTGTCCTTGATCCTTGCAAAGCATAAGAAGTGGTAACTTTGACATGAGATTTCTTTAGTCCTCTATATGAATACTAAAGGAATGTGCTTTCTTAGAATTGCTAACAGAAAACAAGTAATTATTAAGCAATGTGACCTTGGTAATCTTTCTAGGCTATACTATGGCACTGCAGAAAAAAAAAACAATGTCTTCAAAAATCTCAGATTTGTTTTCCAACTTCAACTCTGACCAAATGTCTCTGGTTTTCTCATCTAAAAAATGGGGGTACAGGACAGGACCTATTTATCTTGGAGCTTGCTGTGGGATAGATATAAGATGATAAATCAACGAAAATGTATGAGCATCTCTTCTGTGCTACTGAGGATTCAAAGATAAATGAATAAAATACTTCTCTCTGGTCTTAAAGGAAACTCCTAGCTCTGGAGGAAGAAGGCACTCTGGGAATCTATTTTAGCGCTCTATCTTTGGAATGAGATGACCATTGTGAGTCTAAGGCAATGGAGGCAGTATACTCTGCCTGAGGGATCATTTACATCCTGAATGAGAAATTGCTCTGTAAACACTGAGGTACTAAATTATGAGGCACTAAGAAACAGATGGATTCTCACTGATTCTTGGTGTCATTATAATTATTATTGCTACTAGTATTACCATTATGCAAATCATCATTTGGAATTTGAATTGTTCCCCTGTGTTCACTCTTAATCTTCACTGTTTTATTTTTGCTCCAGAAGATTGAGTTTTCTGGTTTTGTTTTTTTTCACTTTATTTTGCCATCCTCTTTACTCCTTCTTTCTTTTCCAGAGAAATCTGTTTTTCTCATTGAGCTCCCCACACCAATCTGCTGGGCCATCTGATTTTTCTTAACTCCAAATCTGGATCTATTTCTAGCTAACTGCTGACAATAGTGCCATAGTTATCCTTGCAGTCATATTCATTGGTTTGTTATCTTAAATAATATAATTTCTGAACATTGACTACATATGAGGCTTTGGGCTAGATCTGGGATACACAGATATGGATATACACAGATATGGATAATCGACTCTGCTTTCATGGAGTTCGAAATCAATCTAGTGAGGGCGGAAGATAAATAAACATAAAGTTATAGGACAGTGTATCGAGACTGATGCTGTAGATATGCGCAAGGCATAGTAGGACTTACAAGTGAGGAAGCATGGATGTAAGTGAAAACTTAATAGTACATGTCATATTTATGATCCATCTAGAAGATAAGATGGCCACTATTCATAAGGAGGTAGCCTAAGAGAGGAAAAGTCATTTCTCTATGCTCGGGGTCTGTTCAATAAGCTGATCCCAACTGAATCCCCAGATTATGGAGCCAAGCTTCCTGGCAAGTCCAAGGAGTTGGAGTAAAGGGGTTGAGCCCCTTTATAATCACCAGCAGCACCATAACCATGCATATCCAAAGAGCCCTAAAATCTATGCCAAAAAACAGTGTTCTTGCTAGTTCTTGGACAAGCCAGACCCTCTTCTTCAGCTCCAACCAAGGCATTTCCATCCAGATTTTTCCTTTGAGACCTTCCCATGTATAAGGCTGGTTAAGACCCAGTCTCCAAGATCCACAGCTTCCAGGTAACTGAATAGGTAAAAAAAATCTCAACAGAGTTCATCAATGGGGAAATGGATATGAGGAAGATCCATTGTTCAGAGGGTACTTCTCATCTGTAGCCCTGGACTGGTCAAGAACACACCCACCAGATGTTCTGAATGCTAGCATGAAGATCAGTGGCCAGATTTTTCCTCCATCTGTAAGTTTGAGTGGTTTCCAGACTGCAAACTGGTATCAGAGCCTGTTTCCCTGTAAAAACAGAAGACCTCTCCTCCCACAAGGATCTTGGCCCTAACACTTTCCTTTCTCTCATTTATGCCTCAGGATTCCCTTATTTCTTCTTTAGGTCATTAAATACAAAATATTAACCCATATTTATTTACTAGACTATGAAACTGAAGCAATCCCTCTTCTAACATTAGCTGCCTTTAGTCTCATATTAATGAAAAGGAATAGAGAGAGAAACAATCAAAACAAACAAACAAACAAACAAACAAACAAAAAAACAATTTTGGCTGGGCACCGTGGCTCACACCTGTAATCCCAGCACTTTGGGAGTGGCCAAGACAGGCGGATCACGAGGTCAAGAGATCAAGACCATCCAGGCCAACATGGTGAAACCACGTCTGTACTAAAAATACAAAAATTAGCTGGACGTGGTGGCGCGTGCCTGTAGTCCCAGCTACTCGGGAGGTGGAGATAGGAGAATGGCTTGAACCCAGGAGGTGGAGGTTGCATTGAGCCAAGATTGTGCCACTGCACTCAAGCCTGGCAACAGAGCGAGACTCCATCTCAAAAAAAAAAAAAAAAAGAAAAAAAATACAAAACACAATTTTATTCCCCAGGAAAATATGCTGTTACATGTGCAAGGAATTAACTGTTTAGAACACGATGATTTGGAGGATGAAAGGAGGGTTTGCCTGGAGCCCTGAAAATACTGGAGAACGGTGGAACATTTAAAGGGCTAATTGAGAGTGGAATGAATGCCTGAATGCCCAGTAGCCACAAGACAGAATGGTACTCTAAGAGGAGTGGCCAAGCTGTAGGTATCACAGAAGGACCTATTCTCTAACCATCTGCTCTTCTTAGGTAAGTATCAATGGGCTCACTTGAGAGGAAACCAACATGTATATCAAAAACTAGACATTTGTCTTTCATTGCATCCTTTAATACAACAACCTGTGAGTTAAATATCTTATACACAAAGGCGAATGAGACTCAAAGAGATTATCAACATGGTTAACCAGCTGGTTCAACTTACAGAGTGTATTAGTCCATTCTCATGCTGCTAATAAAAACATACCTGAGACTGGGTAATTTATAGAGGAAAGAGCTTTAATTGACTCACAGCTTGGCATGGCTGGGGAGGCTTCAGGAAGCTTATAATCATCGTGAAAGGGGAAATCAACATGTCCTTCACAAGGCAGCAGCAAGGAGAAGTGCCAAGCAAATGGGGAAAAAGCTCCTCATAAAACCATCAGATCTCATGGGAACTCTCATTATCATGAGAAGAGCATGAGGGTAAACACCCCCATGATTCAATTATCTCCCACTGGGTCCCTCTCAGGACATGTGGGGATTATGGGAACTAAAACTTAAGATAAGATTTGGGTGGGGACACAGCCAAACCATATCACAGAGCTAGTAATGTGTTCAGCCAGAACTTGAAATCAGATCTATATGACTCCAAATGCCTTGCTCTTCCTTGCAGGTTTTACTCTCCCACCAACAAATAAAGGAGTTAACCATTTTCAAAGTCTTGAGAAAAATAAAGTAGTTTGGCTGGTGCATACATGACAAATAGGTTGTATTATAAAGTGATATGGGAGAGATAAGCAGAAGTCTAATTGGGATTTAGAGAAGCAAAATACATTTCCCTTCACAGTTTCTTCATCTGACAAATCAGGGAGTTATTAGAGACAATGAATGGGACAACATATGTAAATCAGTCTCTATAGTGCCTGGCAAGATATTAAGCCCTCGATGTTAAGAATACCAATTACAACTGCTAGTGCCATTTATTATCATTTTCTATTCCAGAAAAGTGATTATGTGCCTTATGTAATTTGGGGGCAGAAAACAATCCAGTGAAAAATAAGGTGTTCCCTGCTTGGACACAATGAGATTGTTTTGGGGAAGAAAGCCAGAATACTATTATGCAAAATGGAGAAATGAGAAAAAATTCATTAGGTTTCCTAATTTGGACAAGTCATGTACTTCGGCTTTTCTCTGCTTTGGGATAATGTAGGAGTCAGTCTTACATACCTCCATTTTAAATGAGTTATGGTTTCTGTTTGGGTTTCTTATCAGAAAAGACCAGTGAAAGTTTCAGTACATTAGAGCATATGAGAGCACTTTTTGTTTTTCTTATGTTGTGGTCTTCCTCTGATTTCCTAATAATCTTCGCTTCAAAAATCTACAGCACATGTGATCTGCTTGGAAAAAAGCTTTGGGGCTACCTTAGTGAGCTAGACTCTAGGGTACTAAAATAATTCAACCAAGACAAGACATATTATTAGACTGAACAGAGACTAGGTGATGAGAGCCAAGGTAATCTCACCAGAAACTAGATCAGAAAGTAGATCTTCTCTAGACAACATTAATTTGGATCAGAGTACCTGAACTACATTTTGTTTTGTTTTCTCTAGTCTTTTAACTTTACATGTTGAAGACTACTCAGGTTATTAGCTTAATAATTTTTCCCATGTGCAGGGACATGTGCCATGCCTACATCCTTTAAAGACCAATGACCTGTGCTCTGGTTTTCTTTTGTTCAAGAGCTCGCTCTGTAACCTTAGGCTCAGAAGTCAAAAGCCTTACCCAGCTTTTTTTCTGTAAAATGAAGAGATTGAACTAGACGATTTCTAAGGGCCCTTTGGGCTCTAAAAGCATGTAACTGTATAAAATTGAAGTAATAATATATCGTCTTCTCACCTCACAAGATTATGGCAAGGATCACATAGGAGAGCTGATGTGCTTGAACATACATAAAGGGATATACAAACCTAAATAGCAATAGCAGAACTGTGACTTAACCTTGGACTCTAGCAGTAAGGAGGTTAACAAGACTTTAGATGTCATTTGGTTTCATTATTTCCAAATGGTCTCCAGAATGATGCTTGTAATGTTGAATCAAATTACCTTTTTTGCTTTCTAAAAAAAATACACATTATTTTGGAGAGTTTAATTTAATTGGTTAGCCATGGAATCTGGGATCTATATTTACAAAATCACTTGCAATTAAAGATTCAGATTCTCTTTGTAAACACAGAATGTTTAGCTTCTTTTTCATTGCAACTTATGAATCCATTCTATAGTGAGGTATTGCATTATTTAAAAGTAGGTTATAATAGTCACTTATTAGTAGTTTAATATTGAGAGGCAGTGCTGGACAACAATTGAAGTTGGAAAACATGGGTTTAAATTATACTCTTTGACTTATTAACTGTGTAACCTTGAACAAATCACTTAACTTCTCTGAGCCTCAGTTTTCTCCTATTTTAAAGGATACAAACGATAGCCACCATCTATAGTGCTTTAATAATTAAAGAGATACTGCATGAGAAGAAAGTAATGAAATATGTCATGTTAGCTTGCCTTTCTCCTTTCTTGCCCTTCAAAGTATTGTAGCTATGAGGATATTAATAAAACACAATGCTGCATAATAATCACATCACTATAATAGTAATCTCCAAGTTATATAACAGGTGTCTAGATATCTTACCATCTGAACAGATGCCAATACATAAATTTGTTTACAGGTATCTCCTTTCTCAGAGACTAAGAGTTTAGCGGGTGGCATCTGGGTGAGTAAAAATACCTTCTGTTATTGTTAGTTTGTTTTAAAATTTAGGAAGATATGCCCAAATGTATGTCTTGCAGAAATTTTGCCTTACTATTTAACTATATTTATCCATACACAGACATGTTTGCAAAAACAAGTGTATTTTTCTTCTGCAAATATCCTTTTCCATTTTCTACCATTCCAAATCTCTTAAGTAAATCCACTATTTACAATACAGCTGTTTTAACGACATGTTTATGAAAATACAGATCCTGATCACAGTTTCCCTATGGACTACCAAAGAGAATTTGAAACCCCGTTAGTAGTTGCAAGATGAAAGTCAAGTTCAAATGTGTATCGAATTGTATCTAAGGAACTGAAATTGTTTTATAAACCTCAGTTAGACCTCACACCACCCCCCTGAGGATGGAAAGAAGTATTATGCACTCTTATGGAGACACAAACTTAAAATCCATTGAAAGTTTAATCACTTTGCATCAAAAGCCTTATAGCTGGTCCGTGGTGGAGTGAGGAACAAAACAGAATTTCTTCCTAGGGAGCAACTTACCTTCTTTTATTTGCCTGATTACTAGAGTGTATGAAACTTCTGGAAAATTATGATGAATGTTCAAAAGAAACCCCTGAGAAAGGATTAGCATTTGTTTCTCAGTTTAGAGAATGAGTGATTAGTTTTTCATGCAAAAGCAACAGCACCTTTTTTGTTTTGCTAAACACTTAGGTGGAAATGACCCCTTTGAGGAAGGAGAAAAGAAGAGCAGAGCAATTCAGGAATTAGGATAGCAATTGGTAGAATATTTCTCTTTCTTTCTTCTTTCCTCCTCCTTGTACATAGCAACATGCACAGATATTGCACGCTAGAGGGCACTTGAGGTAGAAGAAAAAAAGCTTCGGCATCCATTCTAACAGGACTAGTTGCCTATGCAGGCGGGAGACGGCAACCTAAAAGCAGTGCCCTGATTTCCACATGGCAGCATCTTTAGCAAAAGAACAAACAAAAATCCTTAGTATTATCCAGCTTTGACTAATAAAAGAAGCCTGTTCACATTCTCAATAATTAATTTCCCTTCAATATCTTGTAACATTTGTCCGCTGCATATACATGTGGTCTTCTCTCTAATAAGCATCTTGATAACTAATCACAACTATAAATTCCATTTTGCACATATTAAGATAATTGTTTTCCCTTCACCTCCCCTCCTCCATACATCTGTATTCCCCTATATATCTGCAATGGCACATTAGTATAAGTGTGCAAATATCAAATAATGGTAATCTTCTAAGCCAAACTTAAAATTAATTAAATGTAATTATTATATTTTAGTATGAAATACACTCTGTTATACCAAAGTAGTAGTATTTTAGGGAGTGGGGTACCTTTTTTACTCCTCTTTCTTCTTTTTTTATTCTTACTCTTTTTTCTTCTTTCTTCTTTTTACTTGGAACACATTGGGAACTATTTTTAATTTTTTCCTCCTTTTTTCTCCTAAGTTAAACAAGAGTGGTCTAGAATCTTAATCTAGTTGCTATTCTCCTACAGAAGAAAAAAAAAGATAGAGAAAAACCCAAACACTAATATGCTAAGTGTGTAGTCCACAAAACCTGGACTGGCTTATTTGATAGCTTTGTATCAGTCCTCTTAAATCTATTTACTACCCCACCCGCCGCCCGTCCGACCAAGTTTCTGTTCAGAAGCTGAATTGAAGCTTATCTCTTTTCTAGTACCTGGGAAGATGGAAGATAATGCCATTTTGAAAACCTTCTCCAAAATGCTCTCAGCACAGATGTGGTTTTCAGAAAGTGTTTACACCTCCATTTACTGAAAGTATAATGACAAACTCAAGATTAGTAATTATAGTCAATATTCAGAGATGCAGGCCTAATTTCAGGGACAGCTAAAACCAGCAAGCCAAGAAATGTAGAGCATCACAACTCTGAATAGCAAGCTCAATGATGATTTTATGTCAAGAATTCATAACTACTTCTAAAGAAATCAATTTAGTTTTTCAAATCCCATACTAAACATTAGTGAGGTACTCAGACGATAAATTTAGTGTGCTTACATTTTTATTCTTCTTTTCAAATCTTGTTTTTTAAGATAGTATTTTGTCTTAAAACAGAATATTCTGGGACAAAAACAGTAAATATTAACACAATACACTATTTTATTTTTTTCCTTCTCATCTTTATACATGTCACAAGAGAAAGAAATTGCCTAAAGCAGTGTTCTCAGATGTTAGCAGGTAACAGAATCTCCTAGCACATTTGTTAAAACCCAGATTTCTGAGCCCCACTCAGATTCAGGGTCAAAGAATTTGCATTTCTAACAAATTTCCAGAAAATATTGAGGCAGGAGCTCGTCCACGGATTGCAGGTTGAAAACCACTCGTCTAAAGGAATCTCCAGAATTGCTCACATTGGTTTAATGAGAGCACCATAATAACTTCTCATAATCTTAGTAAGAGAATGGTTTAAAGCAAATTCATAAACAAAAAAGCTGTCCTAAATTTACTTAAACATTTACAAACTTCTCAAAACTTCTTCTTTTTTATTTTATTTTTTTTTTTTTTGAGACGGAGTCTCACTTTGTTGCCCAGGCTGGAGTGGCTCACTGCAAGTTCCGCCTTCCAGGTTCACGCCATTCTCCTGCCTCATCCTCCCGAGTAGCTGGGACTACAGGCGCCCGCCACTACGCCCGGCTAATTTTTGTATTTTTAGTAGAGACGGGGTTTCACCTTGTTAGCCAGGATGGTCTCGGTCTCCTGACCTGTGATCCGCCCACCTCTGCCTCCCAAAGTGCTAGGATTACAGGTGTGAGCCACCATGCCCAGCCCCAAAACTTCTCTCTTAATGTTTTAATTCTTATGACTTACGCTTCAATATTGGAATCCAAAATAAAATTTAAGTTTCTTAAGCTTAATGCCAGAGTTGTTACATATTACTTACCCTTGCCCCATACCCCAAATAAAGGGCATGGTTTCAGATATCTTCATCCTAATGAAACACAGGAAAGGGACCCTTCATTTCTGGAAAAATATTACATGGTAATTTGAGTTGTCATTTTTCATATGTCATATTCTTGAGATTTTATTTTAAATGATAATACCTGGCACCATAGATATCACATTACAAGCAATCCAATAAATCTAAAGGTTACCAGTAATCATAATATGGTAAATACATTTTGTTTTTAGTTTGTTTTAATTTTTAATTCTATCTTGATGAATGAAAACGACGAAAGATTGCATTTTAACGCAGCAAATAATAGTTATGTTCCATTCTGTCATCTCCTGCTCCAACCAGAGAAGCTGGAGACTTCCTAACACTGTCTCCCTCTTCTTGAGCTCTGTTTCCTATGAACCATCTGATTCCCCACTCTGCAACTAGCTGGGCACTTGGTTTACTGTGTCCCTTGGTCAAAATTACGACAAACATTCCAGCCATAGTGAAAAAATAAAAGTGTATTTTACTACATGGAGTCCCTCTCCATCTCATTCACTCTCTACAGTAGACTCCCCTGCAAAACTGCCTGCCTGTCACCGAGACCCAGGCTAGAGACATCCTGCCTCATTCTACTTTTTGCATTAGTCAGCCAAGGTTATTCTGAATGCAATCTTCTCTCCCTCCCCCCAACTCCTTCTCCAATTATACTCCTGCCCTATCAGATAATTCCTCACCCTTCCTCCCCCGCAATGCTCCACAACACATGCAATTTCACTTGCCATTCTAAAAAGCCTATGTACCACAGTCCTCTTCCCGCTGGAAGGCTGTAACCCTGGAGAGGATGTTGAAAAGAAAACACTTTCTTAAGGGGGTAGGCTTTCACCATTGTGACATTACACTGCATCTTATTAAGAGTGGGTGGAATTGTTAAAGAGATAAATGCCTTGTCTTTCAGCATCCCTGATTATTTTAGAAATATCCTTATAGGGCTTTCTAACATTATCCTAATCCTCTATCACACTGCTTAATCATCCAAACCTCTCTTAAGAATTAGTCAGGAAATTCCTATTGTAACGCTTTGAGCAGATATTAGCAGGTATAGACAGGTTACCCTGAATTCCAGAGGACCAAAATTCAGGGAAGACAATGTATATAACTGCTGTAAGAGTAAATATGGACAAGATGAGTCAAAGCAAACTCTTCTTAACCCTAGATACCCAAAGCCATTGGATTCTGGCTCTCTTTAAAAGCCATTGGATTCTGACTATCTTTACTATGTCAGCATAGTTTGTTAAGAAAATGAGATTTGAGGATATTGTCTAACAATCTGGCTTTTTTTTTTTTTTTTGAGACAAGTTTGTTACTTGTGACAATCCCCAGCTTTCAGTAGCACATGAGTTTTTTTGAGTTTTCATAGATGTAAGAAGTTACCCCAAGGAACGGTTCAAATTATTTGTTCAAGTGAAAATGAATATCTGAAATTAAGCACAACCCAAAATGTGATCTATTTCTTTGTCCACTTGGGACTGTCTGGTCTAGCAGCAGTTATAATTTGATTGAGCCTTGACTGCTGCTCCTTTTTCCAAGACAGAATTAGCCAATTCCAATACCCTGTAAGCAGACACAGTCTGAGAAGAGAACAAACAGTTACTTAGTGACTGCCTGGGGGAAAAAAAATACCACTTGGTTCTCTTCACCTCTCCCTCTCTGAAATAATCCACTAAGTTTCTTGCCTATGACAGCTAGAACATGAAACAATCAGATATTAGAGCTACAGCCAATACTCTTTTTCACATTTCACAATGGGTTGTCAGATGCAGCACACAAAAAAATGTCAAATTTGCATAAATATCATAAGCATGTTGTGCCTATTTTCTCATTCTGTTCACTCTTTCTCATTAATTTGAGTGAGACAGTACAAGCTCTACAGACTGTGCGTCTTGTCCCCTGCACCTTTTTCCCCCTTCTGTTCTTGCTCTGTCCCCAGATGGTAAAATCCACCCTCAGGCTCACGTCTAGTGCACACAGGGAAGGGACTAAATCGGGATCTCCTGTGGAGGGGAGGGTTTTTTTTTTTAAGGTAAGAATTTATTTGTCTTATATTTATCTAATTTTATTAGAAGATGATGACTGTGGCATCGTCTACATGTTAGCCCCAGTGTTGAAAAAGAAAAGAAATCTGGACCTCCTGATTCATGGTCCCTTTTACCCCAGGGTGGCCATTTCTCAAGATCTGAGCGCAGCCCATCAGAAGACTTGAAGTGACCACAGACAGGGCAGGTCTTGGTGGAGGCAGGAGAACCGCAAGGATGGTATCTGAGAGGATATGACAAGATCAGGGCACATTGAGAAGACCTAGAAATTCCTCCCCTATTTCCCAAGCAAGTTCTGCTTTGCCTGCCCTCCTCCCCACAACCAACTACTGCGCGCCCCTCCTGGCTGCCACTCTGCTGTCCCTCATCCCATTTTCCCAAAGGAGCACGGGGACATCAGGAATGCGCTCCATCACAGAACCGCGACACACAGCCTCTACATAGCGTCTGAGTTGCAGGCAGGGGTCTCACAATCACCCTATTCTGTACGCAAGAGGCCCTTGGAATAAAGAGGAGGTAAGCTGCCCACGCTCAACCCTTTGCCCTGTCGCGTCCTCTTCCTCCTACGGAAAATAGCTGCGGGTCACTGAGACGCTTTTCAACATAACGCCAGCCCCAGAGCTCAGGTGAGACCTCTAGAGAGAAAGCTCGCAGGTACCTCATCCGCATGCTGTTATTATCTGCCAGCCCACTTATCCAGGAGCTCGGTCCTCAGCGGGCTGCGCGCACCGCGCGGAAGGGCGCATCTTCACCTCGTGGCTCTGGCGGCAGAGACGCGCGGGGCTTGCTCGGGAGCGAGGAGCGAAAAGTTGTGCGCCCACTTGGGTAGGGGGAAAGAGAGCGATCGAGCCAGCGCGGGAGAGCGAAGGGGGAAGGCGGGGAGGGGGCGGGGAGGGGGGACTGCTTACATGAATTTCCAAGTGGTAGACCTGCCTCTGCGCTCTGCCCAATGAGATCCGTCAGGGGAGGCACCCGGCTCACTTTTCCACATCACTTCACAGTTACATTTGGCAGGCAGGCGGGCTCGCACGCCGGAGCGCTCAGCCCAGAATTAGTGGATTTATTTGGAATCTCCCTGCCTCCTCCAAGCTCCGCCGCCGCCGCCGGCTTGTGCATAGACGGTAGCGTCAAGACACCAGCTGCACTTTGGGTTGCGGACACCCAGAGCCCAGCGCGCCCGCCCTGCGTCTCCGCACCAAGCCCTGTAGCTCCGAGAGGCATGAACGGAATCCGGAGGCGCCTGCCTAGCGAGCGAGGACCGGTCGGCGCTTGCCGCCCTCGGGAGCTAACCCCGAGCACCTCCAGCCATTTGTGAACCTGGAGGCTTGACATTCGCCAGCGCAGGGCCCCACAAGAGTAAGTGTTCCCCTAACCCACCCCCGTTTTCCTCTATGTTCCGACTATCCAGAAGGGACCGTTTCTTATAGGAATTCCCATGCCCCTTCGGACACCTTGCGCGCCTCCTGCCCCTCAGATGGTGGATGAGGGTTCTTAGCATAGGCTCTGGGCTAAGCTGTGTCTTTCGCGATATCCGTGGGTGATAACGTACGTACGCCTCAAGGTTTTGCCTGACTGTTTTTGCAAACTGCTTTGACAACAGATCCTAGAGAGTAGCAAGCTCCAGGCTGTGCCCCTCCAGTTTTCCTGCCGGTTTCCTTCCCTGCGGCGACTTGGCTATTTCGCCGCTTCCCAACGCAGGCAGGCGCGGCTGCAGCCGCGCGCCTTCACTGCGGGGTCCGTGCGGTGAATGGGAAGCACCTGCAGCCCGCTGTGCGGAGGGTGCAAGCCAGGGAAAAAAGGAGGCGAGGGGGCCCGAGTGGTCTATGGCTGGTTTTCTGCACCGCCTCATCTCCGAGGCGAGGGAGGGCGACCCCCGCGGCAGGGCTGCGGGCCAAGGCTCAGCTGCGAAAGCCCCAGCGCGAGGCTTTCCCACAAGTGGCAGCTCCAGCTCTGGGAGGTGCGGTGCCCGCTACAAACTTGCCGGGCTCCGGAGTCGCCCTGCGGCTCTGCCCTCGCCAAGACGCTGCCCAGCACCCCTGCAGGACCCCCAGGCAGTGTCTCCCCGCAACTCGAGATTGCGTGCACGGAGGCCCCCTTAAGCCGGGGACTCCGTAGCCGCTCTCCTAGGGACAGCTGAGCCCAGACCTGCGCTTTCTGTGGTCTGGCCGCTTCTCATCCGGGAACCTTTGAGGGGCTGGTCGCGCCCCTCGCAGGATCGGAGGGAAAAAGGCTCTTGCCTAGGTTCTGCCAGTACGTAAGAGGTTCATAAGGGACCTACTCCGGTTCTCCCAGGATCCAGCCAAGGCTGGGAAACGGTAAAAAAACGTGCTGCCGCCAACGCTGATGCCAACAGGTATCCACAATTTCCTCCGCTTATTCCTCCCAAACACCAGAGCCTTCCCCCACCCAGTCTGGCAGAATCCTCAAAGTTTCCTTGCGGTTGACCCTTCCCCCGCAGGCACGGAGCCGGCGGCATGTCAAGGACTAGCCGTTTGCCTCCACCAGCGGAGATGGCAGCTGTTTGCTTGGGTTGCTAAATGTAAGAAATCAAACCACATTAATTGTTTATTGTTGCAAACGCACAATATTAGTCCGTAATGGAAAATCGGGCTGGCAGCTGCTCACTTCAGCACCAATTAAACGATAGAGCTTATCACCAAGACAGCGGGAGGGAGGAAAGGTCCTTTCAACTTTACCACCCTTTCCTGAAGATTCCACAAGAGTTTCCTCCTTAGGAGGCATGATTCGACAATCCCTTAGCGCGCCCGAGCTGCTAATCAGATCAGCTGCTTTCTTTCACCTGGCGTCATGATATCTGGGGGCTGACAATGGGAACGAGGGGACGCTAGGGAAGGTAAGCGAGAGTACTGTCCTCTCGCATCCGGTACCATCGCAAAGCAGATCCGAGGGATGGGGGCTGGCTTTTGAAGCGCCTGTTCTCTTTACAACACTCCTGACAGCCATCTCAATGGTTAAAAACCCTCCTTGGGCTGTCACCTCAGGCTTTATTATAGGAGCTTTTCAACTGGAAAACTATATGTGGGAAAGATGTTTATGTAAGATTCGAAAGTGGGATTTTCCATCCATTCAGCCTCGCTGCTGCACCTCACTGCATGCAAAGTGAGCCCTGTCGTTCATGCTAAATACCAGTAAAATCCCTGCCTAGATATTGCTTTGCATCAGCTGTGTCCAGTGTTGCAGGGATTTCTTCGTGTGCGTGTGTGTGTGTGTGTGTGTGTGTGTTTGAGAGAGAGATATATATATGAGGTGGGGGCTGGGAGTGGGATTCTTCTACAGAGAGAAGTGGTACCTTTGAAGGATGTTCTCTTAGGGTTACATTCTTTTTCCCTTAAAGGGAGTTCTCCATAATCATCATGTCCAGACATGTTTTTCCACTTCCCCGAGCTCTGTGGCTGGAATAAATTCTAGAGCTATCCCCCTTATTAAATAATAATTCTGATAATAATATTCTGTAATTCTGCTTTAGCAGATTTGAAGCTCGCTGTCACATAGTCATTTCATGCTGGAGCAGTCACAGTATTTTAAATCGCCTTTGATTTTTTTTTTTCTGGACTCTGAAGAAGGCGAGGAGTTGAGGAAAATCCCTCTGAAAACAGAGAGGGGAGTCTTTCCAGCAACTCCGGGGACTGCTTCATTCAGAGCCCTTCCGTGGCAGTTCACCTTCCTCATTCTGATCCCCACACTCCCCAAGTGAATGTCAAGTTATCCCCTGACCATCGCAAATAGGCCAAATGTTTTAGAGACACTGGCTAATGTGCTCTGAAACTTGTGCTGTAATGCTGTCATTCAAACTTTTTAATCTATTCTCCCTGCAAATTGGTTCTTACATTACTAATTATTATTACTGTTAGAAATCAGTGCTTCTGCTTTATCATTTACAGTCTCTTAAAGCCTTCAAGATGGGTAAATCTCTACATTCAAGACTCTGTAACATTTCTTGGCTGCATTTCTGGTGTGTAGGATGCATTTCTTGAGTTCTTGAAGCTGCATGAATTTAGCTAAAAGAACAGAAAATTTGATAGCAGTCTTCACTAGAATAGCAGTTCCATTTGCCTGCTGTAGACATGTCAACTCTGAAGGGAAGGAATTCCTTACACTGGAAAACAACTTTATTTGGGTATTATGTAGAACTGTGGTCAACACAGTATTCATTTATAGCAATCCCTCAATTAGCACTGAACACAATTTAAGTAGCCAATGGCAGCATGATCGATGTAAAACAAAACAAACAAACAGCCCAGGAATGCTCAGCTGGATGGAGAAGACCACTTGAGAAGGCATTTGTAAAGACTGATGTGAATGTACTCAAAGGTCTGATACTGCTTGTTAGTCAGGAGGAACAGATTGTTGGAACAAAGCACAGAAACTCCAAAGAATGAGAATATAATGATTCTATTCAAGAAATTGTACCTCTGGGCTTTGCTTTCCAGGTTCCTTTCATTGTTTATTGGTGGGGAAAAAGAACATGCACATATTAAAAAGTTCAAACCCACACTTCAACAGCTGTTCAGAAAACGTCATCAATGTAGGTAAATTAATGCTTTAAAGAAAAAAATGACAATCTTTGTTATTTTTCTACTCAAGGTGGCACACCTCACGGCTTTATCAACATTCCAATTTGAGCAGATTTTCCATGCAAAACCAAAGGCTTTCAAGGGGTAAAGTGACATTCAATTCGTATTTCCAACCACACTTTTCTGGTCCATCCGCAAACTTTTGTGTCTGGCAAATCAAGGGACAAGCATAATCGGAGAAGCCTTTCTATTAGAGGTGCAATTTAAGGTCCGAAGACTTCTTTTTGAAAATATTCTGCTCAGTGGTGCTGCTGAAACTGGTTTCAGTCATTTTATATTTGTTACAAAGTTATTCAGTGTAGCTGGTGGAGAAAAACAATTTTCTTTTTGTTTTCAGCGCTATTGGCATTCACAGAGGAAATGGTCTAACTTTGCTTTTTAATTAAGAAAAACGTCCTAACTTTGGTGTGTTATACACTTCTCAGGGTGGGAGGGTGTAGATAAACCAATGATAATTCTTGTTGCTCTGTATTATGTACACACACACACGCACGCAAATAACACACACACATATACACAGCATGCTTCTTGAAAATGTGCCCAGATAACGAACTCATTTATTGGCTCAAGTCTGAGATTTTTATCATGTTCCCTTTGCCATTTCATCTGCCTTAGATTATTTGATTTGCCTTTCTGGCTACTCTGATTTGTATATTGATCAGTCTTTCAAAAAATGTTATCTGTGGCGCTGGGAATTCCCCTCCAGTATCTAATACACGTATGTTTATGAAATAGAACAATTTTTTGATGGACAAAGGCCATCATCCGATTTAGCAGGGCTTAATTAACCAAAGGGCTATTAGTGCTTTCTCAATTCATTCTTACAGAAAATTGTGATGCGAATCTATTTCTGCTGAACTGTTTGTTCCTGTCTCTGGAAGCTGCTTTAGATGTAACCATGAAGAGAAAATTAGTTGAACCTGGCAACTTCAAAAGGTCAGAAAAGAAATAAGTTCAAGGGATGCCATTTAGCTGCTTCTACCATATGTTGCCGCTAACTAAATCTCTGTTGCTTCATGGCAAAGCACCGGGGCCAATACTGTTTCTTTTTCTTATCAAGTTTTAAGCTTTATTTCCTGGGTTTTAAATGTCATGTGCTATTTCCTATCATAAACAATATCCATCCTCTTGCTTGGATGTCTTGTGTGTGTGTGTGTGTGTGTTTGTGGGTGTGTGTGTTTAAGTTCTCTTAGTAGGTAGAAGTATATAGATGTGATTTTCTGTATCTCTTTGGAAAGTATCATAAATGAATACCATTTATATTTGGAACCTTCAAACAGTTTTCTTTCTCTGCCTCCACTGCCAAAGACAATTGCAAATGCTAGAACGATGGATGGTTCAGGGCTAAGCACAGAGTTAGTGCTCAGTAAATATTTATTTTATGCGATAAGAAATTAGCAAAGACCCTGCACCCTACACTAGCATATTTTCATTAAAAGAAAGAGATACAATCATATCCAAAGTTCAATATTTTGACTTATCTACCACAATTTTCTCTGCAGAAATTTCATAAGTCCTCCTAAGTCTATTTTTAGTCACAGCTTTTCTCATTTTTTCAAATCAATCTTACTCATGTTCCACAAAGCATATTTTTGTTCTCTCACAATCATCTTTTAAATGATATGGGAATATAAAAAATGACATAATTCAGCTTTGTAAAAATGAGAATGCCTCCAAGACTAGACTTGCATCAAAGAATGCTATTAAACTATATTTGATGCAAAGTTATATTTTATTGGCAAAAAAATGCACTAATTGTGGAGTTGCTGCATGGGTGACTCAATGTCTGTACATTGTTGAGAATGTATAAAAAATAATTAAGGATTAATTTACTTCCTCTCTCCTTCCTGCCCTCCTTCTTTTTCTTTCATATATTTTTGTATTTGAATTGAACAGTTCACCTTACCCTCATGTGAATTGCAACTATGGGTGTTTTCAAAGACAATTCCATACTCTTCTGTATTAATCAGCAGGATACCTGGCCCTCACATATAGACACAGGGAAAAATAGTGTGCCATGATAAGGTACTTTTGTGGATGTGTTTATTGATATTTTAGGCATGTTGAAGATATTACAAAGGAATATTAAATGGAATCCCCTTACTCTTTTTTATGTACATCAAGTGAAAATATTACAGTATATTTATAGTTCATTTGCAGTCAGAACAATATTTTCCATGTCTTTTTCTCTCTAGATAGATTAATGAATAAAATATGATTATTTGATTCTAGATGTGACATAAATGATACAAAATAAGTAGATGGAGGAATGGTATAAATATCACAAGGAAATTATTTCCTTTTTATGTAAGAAGATTCATCTCCAAAATTTGATTTATAAAGTACGAAGGCACATTTTCTTCTTTATTAGTCTGTTGCTGGTTGAGCTTTATAAACAGAATTCACATTTGTGTCTAACTATTCCCATCTTCAACATGGGGATGCTCAGAAAAATGAAAAAAAAACAAAAAACAATTCATACTTATTTTTATCAGAGGGTTAAAACACATATCTTCTCTTGCCTTTGAGTGTCACTAAACTATAGTAGCTGAAGATTGTATACGTATTTTGGAATCTGCATAAGCAACTCCCTTAATTTTCATAAATTATACATTCTGGGTCATAACTCAATAGTATTTTTGTCAAATAATTGCTTGCTGTCTATCTGACTGTCTACTCATCCATCACCTGTGTCTGTAGTTCACGTTAAGTGTCAGTGAGTGGTTATTAAGCTATAAAGTTTTAGAAGCATGAAAGAGTGACAGTAAGGTGCACTTGTAAGCATGGTTACTACACAGTGTAATCTAATTGGCAGAATCTGGATGACTTATACTAGGATCGTTGGCTGCATTTCAATTTCAGTATAAGAGACTCTGAAGCCCCCATTATGGGATGTAAGTGATTTTAACCATTTCCACATTTCTTAAGTGAGAAGAGAAATCTAATTTCTGTCATCAATGCTAAAGTTTCTTGAAATAAATAGAAAAAGTTAGTTGCAATCTCTGACGAGCATTATCTTCTCTGAGCTCCCTTCTAAGTAGTATATAGCTATCACCTTGGATTCATCTTGGAATTAGTAGAGACTTTCCACTTGTGCTGTCCTCACAGGAATGTAGATGATTATGAAGTGCAATGGAATTTATCTTGTAAAAGATATGTACCAGGCAATGTTTTTTAATGAGCGGCTACAGTTTGATTGAAAGAGAATAGCTCACTCATGAACAGGTAGTGCTTGTACTCTGTCCTCTCGGCAGAAAATAGTCATGGACAATGTCATGTCTTCTATGGGAAGGAAAGATGTGGTTCGTTCTGGACAGTAAAAATGCAGCCCTTCTGAGGCTTAATAAAACTACTCGAAGTCATTGCTTTAATTGTATGTTAGTTGTGGAGAGGGAAAGCTATTTCTAAAATGCTATTTTATTTATACCCACCCTGGTTCATGCCATTTTTGTTTTACAAATCAAGAGTTTAAAAAAGTTACTTTACTTATTACCTGTCTACACAGAACATTGGAATTTTCCCCACTGAAGTACATACACAGCAAGAGATTGCAATAAAATAATTTTTAAAAATCAGTAAATATTTTCGGTTAAGCACTCGAAACATCCAATAAATAGTTACTACAATAGCTACATTGACAAAGACTTTAAATTACCTTATTTATTTCTTCCTTAATCTTTCAAAGTAGGTAGTATTAAACACAGAGCATCAGTTTCTTCACCTGCCACAAATAAGATAAACGTGCCCAGGTGACTTATTTCATGAACGATAGAGCTGTGATTCAGACTACTTCTATCTGACTCTAGAGTCAATGCTCTAAACAGCTATCTCATGGGGCTTTCCACAGTTCGGCTGAATTACAAGGTTGATAAGAAGAAGGTTGATTCTGATTGATTGCTATGATTTAAAGGACCTGCACGAAATGTTGTCACTCAGTAGGTCTCTGGCTGTTAAATTCTGAACATGTGATCTAAAGACTGCAAAGGGCGTGACTTCAAAGAAGGAGGGATTTAGATTAGACTCGAGAAATGACTTTCTGGCCACCACTGTGTCTGTAACTGGCAAGGGAGTTGTGGGACTGATACTCGTTTTTTTTTTTTTAGGATGATCTTGATACTGGTTTGCCTTTAAAAAGCCCAACAGAAGAAAATTACTCTCAATATCTTAACTAAACTGATGATTCCAAGAAAGTTTTCTAAGTAAAGGTCTGGTTCTAGAACACTAGAGAAGAGATCTTATTTTGACTTTATTGTCTTTGTCACTGGCTTAGTCACCCCATTCTGAAATTTCTGTAACAGAAAAATTTCTACGTGAAGAATAAACTTGTGACTCTACCTTGGGAAAGAAGGAGGAGGAGAGGCATTTATTTATTGATTTTTGCAAAGGAAACCAGCAATTATAGAACTTAAAGAAAACAAAAACTTCAGGTAGAGAGGAGTAACATGGCAGTAACAGAGCAAAAAGTGGATTTGAGGCCGGTCGCGGTGGCTCACGTCTGTAATCCCAGCACTTTGAGAGGCTGAGGCAGGTGGGTCACTTGAGTTCAGGGGTTTGAGACCAGCCTGGCCAGCATGGTGAAACCCCATCTTTACTAAAAATACAAAAAAAATTAGCCGGGCATTGTGGCGGGTGCCTCTAATCCCAGCTACTCAGGAGGCTGAGGCAGGAGAATTGCTTGAACCCAGGAGGCAGAGGTTGCAGTGAGCCGAGATCGTGCCATTGCCCTCCAGCCTGGGCAACAAGAGTGAAACTCCAACTCAAAAAAAAAAAAAAAAAAAATGGATTTGACAGATATTATTCTGGATGTCAAAACAAGCAAACAATATGCTTTTGGACAGATTGACATCTGGATAAATATGTGGTCTGATGCCAGAAAGGATGACCGGAAGGGTTGTGGCTGAGTGAAGGATACACAAAATAATATGTGCACGTGTATGTGTGTGGGTGTGTGTGTTTACATAAACAATTTCAGAATATGTTTCTGCCAAGGGAATCTGGTTAGAGAATTCTGAAGGCTTTAGGAAAGGTGATCTTCCTGTATTATTTATATTTGAATAAATGCAAGTGTATTTCCTCTCTAAAATCCAAAGGCTTTTTCTACCTGCTCAGCCCCATTCAGCCAGGGCTTGGGTGAATTGCTCTGGGTCACACACTGAATCGCCACCCCCTGCTTTCGTGAAATACCACTTTGAATTCAATGTGCATTTACCTGTTTTGAAACAGGCTGCTAATGGCTCTAAATTCAAGGTCAGAAACATTTTTAATAGAAACTCACTGGTCCTCTGTGTCATTTTTGCTTTCATGAAATATTGTGGCTGCTAAGCCTAGTGGATAATAAAAGCATAGTTTCCTGTCAACCACAATAATCTGCTGGATTGAATCCTGAAGTGTCTGTAAAAGCCTGTTTTTGTTTTAGACGTCACCTATCAGTGTGTTGTTCATCATTTTGAACTTTAATCCACATTATTTACAAAACGGATGGTGTAATATGTTTTTGCATAATGACTTATATATCCGTGACTTGACTGAGTTCATCTTAAAATAATGTTGGAATCAGCAGAGTGAAATTCAGGCTGTAATTAGAACTATCTCTGAAATGTAAGTATGAATGAAAAGTCAGATTTTAAGTATTTTACCCAGGAAAATATATCATCATATGGGGGAATTCTAAAGACTTTCGTATATGTAAGAATTCCAGAGAAACTGTAAAATCTCTTCATCTCACTATCTGAGTGTAAATCAATGCAGCAGCATTATAATAAAGTAGATTGCTTTGTCAGACACACATACTGTGGTTGGAAAATGTAAAAATAAATTGATTTCTTTTACCCCAGCTTTACAACCTTGCTCAATTTCTTCTTCCTTGCATCAAGTTAAGCAGTTTGTGTATGCAGCTACTATTCGCAGTTATTAATTAATACTGATAACACTGACATAAGACTCAGTTGCATCTCACAAGTTTCTACAAAGCCATTCTCTGATGTTCTAAGAGGACAGTGTTAGTCTGCCCATGGCAGAGGTACAAGCATACAAATAGTGTGGTTCCAAGTGTCACAGCAGAGTCCCATCCCTCTCGAATTAGCAGGATTGCCTTGAAGACCAAGTCTCAACTCTCCCTGATAGCATGCATGTGCCTGTGAACACACCAGTTAGCTCAGCAATTTTCCCAGTGCCTCACATAAAATAGATCTGTGAGGAGAGGAAAGTATTGTCACATCATATAAAATTGCATATATTCATATACCCTAGTTCAAGGTTTCCCCAAATCCATGTGTTCAGTCCTTTATTCACAGCGGTGGTTAAGTAGTTCATGGCATGACATTCAATGACATGAGGAAGTGACTCTTCCACCACACCACTGAGTCCTTTAGGTTATCTCTAGGAGGTCTGAGCTGCGAGCTGGTCTTCTGTAGAACTACTTGCTTCGCAAAGTGTGGTTTTCAAATCAGTAAGTAGCATCAGCACTGCAGGAAGGTTATAAGAAATGCAGAATCTCAAATCCCACACTAACCTAAGTGATTCATAATCTGTGTTTAAACAAGATTTCCAGGTAATTTGGATGCACGTTAATATTTGAGAAGCACCCCACTACAGGTGTGCTAGCATTGGCTCTTTATTGGGTTTTAACAGAGCTGATGGTTAAATTTTCAGTAATTTTCAGAGCTGGTTAATGGTCATTCGGAAGCTTAAAATTGGTCATGGTGGAAGTATTTATACCAGGAAAATCAGAAAACATTACAAATCAGAATTTTTTCTTTCAAAGAGCCACTTATTAAATATTAACCAGTCTGCCTCTAACTATTGCTGGTCTTTCTTTTTAGCAAATAGTGAGATGACCTCAGGCTTTTAACAGTGTCTGGTTTAGTAAAAATGAAACATTACTTAAAATACTAATCTCCCTGTACTTTAATTTGGTTATCTCTACAATGAGAATGATTATAATAAAGTAATAATAATATTATATTATTTTGAAGAATAGATATGAATCTATATGTATATATCTGTGTATGTATAGTTCTTTATGATTTAATATTATCTGAGTACTTCCTAAGTGTTTGCTATTAACCTCGTAATTTTAAAGTTATATTCCATTATGGAAAATAATATTAGCTTTCCATTTAAAAATAAATATTTCAAAAACAGTCTATTTCAATAAAATTTAAAGTAATAATACAGATGATTTAAGAATTTGGCAAAATCTAAGAGATGGCATATAAGTGTTTCAGTCTCTAGAAGCTCCCTACAGACGATGTGACAGGAATGACCTATGTGGATGAAAGGTTTCCCCTGAGTTGGGCTAATTTCTCCCCGGGGCTATACCATTGACTTCAGGGTATTGGCCATCTCACCCCTAGAAACCCCTGAAAATTGGGAAGTTGCACGGGAATAGCACTCAGTTGCCCCTCACACCCTCTCTGTGGTATATGGCTAGACCTTTGGAGAAATCAAACATGCTCTTCTCTTCACAAAGAACTGGCAGAGGAAAGGGCTATATACTTAATATGTACTCTGTAGAGACCATCATTATTATGAATTTGATGGGTAGGAAAAAAGATGGAGTGACGATGGACTGGGTGATTCTGCAAATAATAATTTGAAAATTACCTTAGATGCTGATTCATTCAGAGATCCTAGATTAATTGGTGGTCTTGTTTGTATCCATTGGTTGACTGAAATGTTCTTTCACTTATACCCCCTTCTCAGTTGGTTAATTCTATTTCGACATTTAAATGACATCCCCTCTAGGAAACCTTCTTTAATGCTGCCAATATGAGTGGCTTACCCATCACTCTGTATTTCTTTTAAACCTTCTAAGACTACGTTTCAGTGAATTGTTTATGTATTTCTTTATCTTTGCCAAACAGATTCTTTGCTTCCTGAAGAGAGCAGTTCTGACCCATTTGCCTTTCTCTCCCCAGTACCTGACATACAGTATATGCTCATGAAATATTTCTACAGTGAGAGGAACGGTCTTGTTCAAAAAGAATTTTGAAATTACATTACTTAGGTTCAAATAATGGTTATCTCTTTACTTAGAAGTGCTCCTTGAGTAAATCATTTCATTATTCTCTGCCTCAGTTTTGAACACAACAAAGCAAGGCATTATATGCTTTATCTAACAGTAAGATATTGTGTTAGTGGATACTATTCGTGACTACACACGTATCCCCTTTTTAATTAACCTACTTATCCTGACTAGTCCAGCTATGCCATTGCATAACATTGGTCCAGAGTCTATTATCATTTTTTAACTTATTCTGGTGAGTTCAGGTAGAGGGAACTCACTGCAATCAATGCTGCAGTCCATCCAACATACCACAGTCCATCCTCATTGCTGCTTGGTGGTTTCCATGAAAATGTCTATTATGAATTTAAATTTAGATGAAATTTTCTTATCCTAGAGTCATTAGCAACAAAGCAGATGCCAGAGTATACTTGCAGAGTGTTTGGCAAAATTTTAAAGAACTGTGCATGCTAGTCTATCCTATCTGACGTACCATGAGTATCTCCTTTAGTCCTCAAAACCAACCTGTCAGATCAGTGTTATTATCATTGTTTCATTGCTATTGTTGTTAATTATCCCTCCCTCCGCCGTTATACAACTGGTCAGTGTAGGAATTAGAACTCAAACCCCAAGCAGGCTGACACTAGAGGTCATTCTCACAACCATCTCATTGTTCTGCTATTGTAGAACCCAGGCCAACCAGGTACAGTGGCTCATGCCTGTAACCCCAGCTGTTTGGGAGGCTGGAGTGAGAAGATCACTTGAGGTGAGGAGTTCGAGATGGAGATCAACCCCTCCCCCAATTCTAAAAATAATAGTAATAATAAAATTAGCCAGGCATGGTGGTGCACGCCCAGCTACTCTGGAGGCTGAGGCAGGAGGATCACTTGAGCCCATAAATATGAGCCTGAGTAAACAAATAAACAAACAAAACTTATGCCTTTGGAGAATAACATACATGGCTTTTGCACATTCAAGTATGGTCTATCATGGAGTAGGGGAGAACTGGAAAGAGTTAAGTCCCTTTTCTCTGAGAAGTTTAGGCTGAGCCTCCATGACTAGAATGGATCTCCCCATGTGTGTTAAATGGCACAGGTCTTTCCCCTCTAGCACCATCCTCATCCTCCACCATAGGGAAGATCTTTGCGTAACTTTGTGACACCCTCATACCTTACCAACTTTTACTGCAGAAGTTACATAGCTTCACTCTGCTCATTCATTTTTTTTGTTTTCTCAAAGCCTCTCTAGGGCAGGAATCCTGTCATCACCACACATCTAGCCCAGGATAACCACGTGGATTCCAGTTTACCAAGTATTTCCCATGATCTGGCTGGTTTACATGTGTCTTATTTCTGAACCACACTATTGTCCCGTTAGGTAGGAATTATTATTAATGCCACTTTGCAGAAGAAAAGACTGAAGGTCAGAAAACTTGACTATCTTGTCCATCATTACAGAGACAGCAAGCAGGGTGAGCTGGGATCCAAACCCAGGTGTATCTGTTTCCAGAACAGACAGTCCTCAGCACACACAAGATGCCTTATCACCAACTTCTCGCTCGGGTCTAGAGAGAGCACAGCATGGGTATGCTGTAAATGCTGTTAAAGTAATAAGTGGCTTGACCATTCAGAAAGATACAAATATTTGGGGGTTTCTTTATGGGGGCTTTTTGAATTTTGTTTAGTTTAAGTTTTGAAGCCTGCCAAGGTCTGCTCACACACTGGGATGAGAGAAAGACTTAAGGGGAATCTGTTTTAAGGCGAAGATTTTCTGCAATTCCAGGGAAAGGAGGAGACTTTGTTCTGGACTCCGTTTTCTCTGTATTGGCTCCCCATTGAAAGCTGTTTTCTTTGTCTTCCATTTCCAAAGCAACTGCTGCTTGCTGTGGCTCCTCTATACTCATCAGGTTAAGCCCTTTTAAATTATAGAGTCCCGGTGATTGAGCTGAGCCCAGGCAAAGAATGACAAGCAGGGTGATTCTACTGGCCATCTTGTTAGATCAGATACTGCCTGTACTTGCAGTACAATCTGGGTCTGCCCCTTTCAGCTGGCTTCAGTAAGGCCACTCACCAGCCCAGCTAATGTTAATGACTTTCTAGCTTTCTTATTCTGAGCCAGAATGGAACCAGAGACCTAGAGGTGAAAGGTTTCCTCCCCTTTTATGAATTCCCTGAGCCACACTGTCCCCGAGGGTGTCCTGAGAACTTATTTTCCCATTTAGTCTAATTCAGCAAAGCTTCTCTCTTGGATCTGCAGTGAACATTATTTCTTTAAAAATATTTTTTTTTGAGAGTAAAGAAACACATTTTGCCACGCTGAGGGTAAGCAAAAAATGTATCTGACACCTCAGGTAATGGGGATTTTTTTGTGCCCTTGCCTTTCTGAATCTCTTCAGTTGAACATTACATTTGTTACCATATTTTATTTCCAAGGGGGATTTCCACAATTTAAATCTCCTGTTTAACTGTACATTTAGAATGGGGACCCTGACACTGTCCTGATTATAGCATACAAGCTGGACATTACAGAATTTTTCTCTGGGAGCATTCTAATTTTATTCACTCATTATTAGCATCCTGGCAGAGGATTGCATTCTGCACCCTGAACTGGGCAATCCCTTCTGATGAATCCTGGAAGCTAAGATTGTAAAAATTGGGGTAAATTCCCCTTCCCATTCTCATTTATATTTTTTTAATGTTGTTAATTCAAAGCTAGTTATTTCATGGAGTTTAGCATAAAAGGAACTAAAATGTGTCTTTTAAACAGGTAAAAAAAAAGTGAAAGAAAGAAAAACAAAGAAAGAAAGAATAAAAGGCCTACAGTGTGTTCGACAAGTGGGCTGTGTTAGCATACACCCTGAAGTGTTAAAACAAAAAAGAATGGAAGAAAGAGAGAGGAAGGGATGGACAGAGGAGGAGGAAAGTCAAGAGGAAGAAAAGAAGGAAGAGAGGGAGATGGGAAAGAAAGAAGCAAGGAGGAAAAAGAGAACTTCTATTACGCAAACCAGTTTCTGATAGGTCACATAGCTACCAATGAAAGCTAAAATCTAAATAAAGCTTAAAAATTAAAGGACTTACTAGGCTACTTATTCTAATTCTTCAGATCCACTTTCTTAACTCAAGAGTTTGAGAAGTGCCTACTATTGTTCACTTCAGGTGCTTTTGAAAAGCAGTGATTTTATTTTAAAACCAGTTTGAGTAGACCCTTATCTTTCTTCCTCCTTGTTTTTGCAGGAAATTTCAATGAAAAGAAAAGCCAATGGATTGTGGTCTTAGAAAAGCTGCTTAGATGATGTCTGTTTCCCGTGCTATAGACACGTGGCAGAGCTGTAAGTAAATGCTCGGCACTGCATGATGAATTGGATGGCTGCAGACCGGAGACAAAAAAAATAATTGTCTCATTTTCGTGGTGATTTGCTTAACTGGTGGGACCATGCCAGAACGGCTAGCGGAAATGCTCTTGGATCTCTGGACTCCATTAATAATATTATGGATTACTCTTCCCCCTTGCATTTACATGGCTCCGATGAATCAGTCTCAAGTTTTAATGAGTGGATCCCCTTTGGAACTAAACAGTCTGGGTGAAGAACAGCGAATTTTGAACCGCTCCAAAAGAGGCTGGGTTTGGAATCAAATGTTTGTCCTGGAAGAGTTTTCTGGACCTGAACCGATTCTTGTTGGCCGGGTAAGCTTTGTTTTTAAGATCTCAATTTCAGGGTCTGTTAGTGGTCTTAAGATGTTTAATACCAGACTCTTTTTAATTGTGACCACACTTAGCTGTAAATTGTTCAAGCCAGATGTTTAGTGAGTTTACCTGTCGTTCTGTTAGGAATACGATTAATCCCAAGGTAACAGTTTTAAATGGTCTTGTAGGGAAAGCTTCTCCTACCACCTCTTCCACCCGGCTATCAGTAAAATACAACACTGCTTATATAATGCAAAAACAAATAACGTTTTCTTTCTCACTCACACGAGAGAGATCTCATGCCAAACCTTTTCTCTAGTTTATAGTACTTGGAAGAGATACGCACATTTTCTCAGTTTGAATTCCTACCACTTCAATTACTGAGAGTTTATTTTGTTTTATTTTATTTTAAGGCTATGCAGATATATCTAATTGCAGGTGGATATTTATCTTTTTTGTTTTATCATCTGCTTTTTCAATAATTGACCTAGGATGGAGAAAAGGAAGTTCTTAAAGTAGATGCTTAACTGTGCATTGTACTATTTGAAAAACTTTGCAATAGGAAACTAGTTCATTCATTGTCAGGTGAAATCAAATGTACAGAATCAAAATTTTAGTTTAGTGGAGTGTGTGTGTGTGTGTGTGTGTGTGTGCGCGCGCGCGTGTGTGTGTTAGACTGGACTTACATTTGTTTTGCTGTTGTTGGCAGGTTAGACAAATGTTCTTTGTGTAGACATGGGCTGCCTGCTTTCCAAAATCACACTGGGTTATTGGAGACTACACGTGTTTATTCCTCAGAACTGTTCATAAGCTCCTTTTAATTTTGATGCACATCTTCATGTAGGTATAATTCCAATTATGAGCCTGCCAATGACTGATTTTCTTGATAAGCTTTAGAAGTGAATCAGGCCAATGTTATTCACTTCCCAAATGCAATGATTTAAAAGAAAAATAGGAGGGGAATTAAATGCTGATCTTCAAGACTTGAGTTAACTCTTTGTGTTTCACTGGGAACTTCTGATTGCATTACTGCTTTTACCCTATTGTCTTGCAAAACAAATTGAGCCTCCCCAAGGACTATGTTTCTCATTTCATATGGTTCTACTTGGATGAAGAAAGCCTGCATAAGGAGATATCATGAATCATTACATGGATATTTATTGAGCCTTTCCTATGTGCCAGATGCTCTATTAGACACAGGAGGCGTATCAATGAACAAAACAGTGATCTCTGCCTTTAAGGAACTTATGTTTTGGCCAATACTGAGTGTTTATTGTCTGTTGAACACTATTATAAAAGCATTTTGTGGGCACCAACCTTTCTGATTCAAACAATAGCCCCCCTTCAGTATATGCATATATATGTTCATTTGCATGTATGGATACAAATATATATGTATGAAACAAGTCTGCACTCCCTCTGTCCTAAGTTCAAAGTGTAAAATCTGAAAGATTTTTTTGTATCCTTGATACAAACTCAGGGAGCAGAACCGACTTGAGGCTATTATAGTCATAGTGCGTAATTGTGACTGTTCATATATTTTGCTGCAAAAAATGTTAATGTGGTTGATTACAGGGTGCTGCCCCAGACCCTGCTGAGGGTGTTACTTACCATATAGTTTATATACCTTAATGTTTCTGAAGTATGAAAAGTTTTGAATTCCAAGATACATCTGGCCCCATGGGTTTTGGATATGAGCTTCTTTACCAGCATTATCTTATCTTTTTTGTAGGTACAAAAGTGAGGTTTAGATGGATTAATAAACCAAACCAAGATCACAGAGCTGGTAAATTATCTGCCTGAGTTTGAATCCTGTTGGAAATGCCAGTGGCCATTATTTCACCCACTATACCTTATTACATATTAGGAACCAGCTAACTGGAGTTTAAACTGTAATTTACACTTATGAGTTATTGAGTATAGAATGTAAGGTCTTTACATGCCTACTTCTGGATATTCAGAACTTCTTTAATCAGCCCTAAGGCAAGGCGTTCTTATACCATATGAAATTCTGGGAATACATGCATATTTACATAGTGGATGCTTTGTTCCTTGCTTTTCTTAGTTATCTTTTTATGAAGGTATATCACTCTGACTGTGTCTTGCATAATGTAAATAACAAAACATGCTATGCCTGGGAGAACAATTCATTTTTATCTGGGTAGAAAAAGTAATTAACGTGGGGTTGCTTTGGACTCAGAATCCGATAACTGATTTCATCTCCATTCCTTACATGAAGTAATAGAGATAGAGGTAAACAGCCAGGCATTCAGCATCTTCTTGTGACTTATTGACACGTGAGACGTTCATGCTTCTCTGAATGACAGAAATGTTGCCAGTGAACCTTAGGATTTTGAAATAGCCCAAATGCTTTTGAGTCTTAGTGATGGTTTTTATCTAGCCTTTTCACGGTTTCCTACCATGACCAATTCCCAAACAATTGTTAAGTCAGAGTTTATTTTCTGGAAAACTTTTCTGCGAACATTTCCCATCATACCTATTTCCCTTTAAAGAAAAATGCTCCTGAATTATGACAGTGTAGCCTTGGAGGATCTTGGGTTGTAGCGTAGCCAAAAATACATTTCAGGTGACTGCTTCAGATTATGAGTCAGGCTGAGTGCGAAGATGATCTGAATCGGGGTGCCCACCGGTGCTTTAGTGTTTTACCTCTGTGCACACTCTTCCACATCCGACTCTTTAAACCACTTCACCTCCCAGCTTCTCCCCAGGAACCGGCTGAGAAGCATTACTTACTTATGAGCACACCTGCTCTTTGAAAGGCCCTCCTGCGAGTCACCATGGCGGCGCCTCTGACCTAGCAGGCTGAGTTCAAGCTCAAGGGCAGAGCTAGTTTTTGAGCGATAGGTTCTTCAGAGCTTCACATATAACCTTACAGCATCCATCATCTGTTTTTAGTATATTGGTAGGCAGCTGGATGCTGAGAAAGCTCCTTAGCATCAGAGATGTACTCTCTCGAGGTCTGAATATGAGCTTGGCCACTTTCTGGGTGTTAACCCTGAGAAGGTTACTGAAGTTTTTCAAGGATTATGCAAATAAGATAAATAAGAATTTGTAAGAGTAAAGAAAATAATAGAAGCATAGTGCCTGCTATATAGTAATTGTAGTTGTAATTGTATTCTTAATTGTATGTGTGTGTGTATGTGTTTGTAGTTGGAGTGGCAGACAAATTAACAATTACCTCACTAGGTGAATAACAAGACTCTGGGAGCCCCTTCACAGGTACATGTTGTATAGTGTGGAGGTGATGTTTCTGTGTGTCTTGAAGAGTCACTGGCCCGGGGGTGTGGGGTGGGAAGTGAAGTGCCCCAGCAAGATAGAGGAGTTTATGCAAAGTCACTGGGGAGAGAGTAAGATGACTGAGAGTAAGATGCTTCCCTCGGTCAGAAGCAACAAAAGCCTTTATATTTTCTGTTGAAATGGAATGAAGTTAGTGGTCAAATATATTGGTTTCTTTTTAAGATAAGGTCTTGCTCTGTCACTCAAGCTGGAGTCCAGTGATGCACTCACAGCTCACTGAAGCCTCGATCTCCCAGGCACAAGTGAATAGTCCCTTCTTAATAGCTGGGACTACAATCATGCACCACCATGCTTGGCTATTTTTGTTTAAATCTTTTGTAGAGATGGGGTATCCTGTGTTTCCCAGACTGATCTTAAACTCCTGAGCTTAAGCAGTCCTCTGGCCTTGGCTTCTCAAAATGCTGGGATTACAGGTGTGAACCACTGTGCCCGGCCTGAAAGTCATATTCTTAGAGAGTTTTTCCCTATCAGTTCTTCTAAAATGTAATTGTTCCTCCTTTAATATTTCATACCCTTTGTCTATGCTTGACTGTTTTTCTTCCTGATAATCATTATCTAACATACTCTATACCTTATTATGTTTATTATTTGTCTCTTCTAGGATGCAAGTTCCGCAAAGAAAAGGATTTTTGAGTCCTTTGGTCTTTGCTCTGTATTCCCAGAACCTAGAACCCTGCCTGCATATAGGAACTGCTCAGTAAATACTTTACATGAAAAAATAAATGAATAATTTACCTACATAATGGAAGAATGTATAATAGTCATATAAGCTCAGTGGCATTTTTCAATAAAGGAACTTTCATGTTCTCTCTTTCATATGAGTATTTTATAGACCACCTGGGTAGTTAACAATTTTTTTTATGTATTGATTTTGAAAGTCTTTCTTTGAGGTAGTGGGCATGAAGAAAATGTTAACTTGTTTAAGCAACTCTCTTTCAAAAAGCTGCAGAATTACCTCTGTGGAGACTGTCTTTCTTACCACTGTCATAAAGCAAGACGTTGTCTTCCAACTATCTTCAGACTTTTGTGTTTGGGCTTATGGTACAAACTGGAGCAGAAAGCTTTTGTCTGGATTTCTGAAAAGCAAATACCAGTCAAATAGACTCTATTCCTGCCTCCAGTCCTCTGTGGACCAAGGCAAGGCAGAGCCTGTTCATAAACACATAAACATTGAGCATTCACATCTCCATGTACCTCAGTGTTGACTTTCTTTGGAAATTGTGATAGAGAAAAAAGTGGCTCATGGGACACTTAGCCCAATTATGCTTATTTGTTCTGGTCTTAGGAAAGAGAAAACCTGTGGTGGTTTTTGATGAATCTGGCCACAACACAAAAATACTATTCTGTGGTAAAATGTGCAGATACTCTTTATGGTAGACAGCTTGATGTCATTATGAGAACCCTTGGCTGCAAGTCAGGACGGTGATTGATACAACCATGCCACGAATATTTATTGAGCATCTACTATCTGCAGAGCATTTCATTGCCAATGGATTCTCAGCTCTGAGCAAACACAGATCTATCTATGCCTTCTGCATGGAACTAATGAGCTCCTAGAGGGAGACAGACATTAAAACGGATAATCACATGAAGAAACATCACAAGAAAACTGAAATAAGTACTCTGACATGAAGGAATGTGGTTCTCTTGAAGCATATACAGAGGAAGCTGCCCTATTCTATGGAAGGATGGAATCTTCCCAAAGGAAGTAACCTGGAAGCTGATATGCATTAACCTGTTGTTGAACCAGGGTTCAGGGATAAAGAGAAAAAGAGCATTTTTGATAGAGGAAATAGCATGTTCAAGGCTATATGCAGAGCTGAGAGAGGGTCAGGGTAACTGAGTGTGTCTTAGTCAGTTCTGCTGTATAATAAGTTAAGATAGACTGGGTTGCTAATAAACAATAGAAATTTATTTCCCTCAATTCTGGAGGTTGGTAATCTTTAAGATCAGGGTGCCAGCATGGTTGGTTCTGGTGAGAGCCCTTTTCCAGTTTGTAGACTGCAATCTTCTTGTATTCTCACATTGGTAGAAAGAGGGCAAGGAAGCTTTCTGGGGCTTCTTTCAGAAGGGCTCTAGTTACCTTCATGAGGGTTCCACCCTCATGACCAAATTACCTTTCAATAGACCCATCTCTTAATACCATCAAATTGAAGATTAGAACTTCAACATACGAAGGTCGTAAACATTCAGTCCATTGCGCTGAAACACAGAGAACTAGGCTTAAAGTCTCTTGTGTCAAGTTAGAAAGATAAGCAAGGATCTCTTGGAGATCTGGCTTCTTTCTCTTTTAATTCTACTACAAAGTAACTGGGAAATAAAGTCATTTCTGTTAGGTGCAATTTCCTCACTTCTGAGTGTATGGGATTAAGATATTATATATTTAAGATACAAACCCCTATGGAACTGGAATACACACACACACAAACACACACACACATGCCCCACATGTTCATTGAATATCCTTTTTCTAAAATGCTTGGGACTAGAAGTATTTCAGATTTGAGATATTTTCAGATTTTGGAATATTTGCACACATATTGAGATATCTTGGAGAATGGAGCCAAGTCTAAACATGAAATTCATTTATGTTTCATATTTACCTTACACACATAGCCTGAGGGAAATTTTCTATAATTTTTAAAATAACATTTTTATGTAACAAAGCTTTGACTGTGACCCATCACATGAAGTCAGGTGTGGAATTTTCTACTTCTAGTGTCATGTCAGTGCTCAAAAACTTTCAGATGTTGGAGCTTTTTAGATTTCAGATTTTCGGATTAGAGATGCTCAGCCTCTGTGTGTGTGTGTGTGTTTGTGGTGGGGGGGTATATGTAACATCGATTTTTGGCTCAGGTTGCTTTAGTCCTTGTTCTGTAAGTCCTGTGATCCTCAATTCCTTATATTGCTTATTTTGGGAAAAAAAAAACCAGTCTGCTCTGCAGGTGGTCATAGTTCTTCTATACTAAATCCTCTCTCTTACATAAACTTCTCTGCTCTCTTTCCTCCCTTTATTCCTCCTACCTGGGCTTCTGAGCTGTTCCTTATTTGGATGTAACTCTCTTGCTGGTAATGCCACATCTATTTATAATTCTCTTCCTCCAAGGCACTGACTCATTTTCTCTCTTTAAATTTGACCTTCTAACCTTCCCTCTTTACTGTAACTTGGAAATCATTTGGGTGGTGCTTAGTATGAAGGACACGGGATGCCAAATAATTACACTATATTACAGTTTACGGTGTCTGCGACGGGTGAGAAAATTGCACTTGACATGCCATTATTTTTTGCTGGCTGTTTGCATGTTAAGAGCGTTGGACTACGCAGTCACAGCTTAATTGTATCTTTGGCCTTGTGGGAACAATTCACTGTCAGTTCCATGAAGCTTCTACCTACTCAGACAGAGCCTTGTGCACCAATAATTTGGCAGGAATGCAAGTCAGCACGCATGTCTCAACCTGGCCAGACAACAAGAGTTGGCTCCCTCTTGTCCAATGTTCCGACTTAGAAATAGGGGTATCCCAGAGCTGTTGGAAATCTTTGGCTGCTAATATAAATAATATAAATAAAGAGAATAATATTAGTCATTTAAATTAGCAGAAATTAGCAGAAACCCTAAACACACACATGCTCACCTACACATGACATGCTCACCTACACATGCACACACATGCACATGGAGGATTTCTTAGCTTAGTTTGTTCATGAGCAAACTCCCAAATCGTCTCTTAATCCTTTTTGTTTTTTCCTGTAGCTCCAGACTCTCACCCTGCTCATCTCATTCCTTACCAAGGGATGAGGTGAGAGAGAGTGGATAATCAATGCTTATGTTTGTAGATGCTCTGAGAAGTAAATTCTCAGCTTTCTTATAAGAAGAATCTTGCATATTTTGTCAGCTATTTGAGAGTCATCTCATGAAGGCAGATATTTTTCCCACTTGAAGCAAAATAATAGCAGTCATATGTTTACGGATGACACAACCAGATTATATAATTCTGTTTTTTAAATAGATTGCAACAAGATAGTCAGTATAAAAAAACAAGTTCAGAGTATTGATTCCTATTACAAGTATGAAGCTGAAATTCACAGGGAAGCATTGGGCAAATATAAATGCTACATGACTGGAAAGTGACTCATTGCATATTCACGTGACAGAATAGCATAAAGTCATTAAAAAATTAAGATTTATAACATAAGAGTGTGGTTGCAACTTAATAAATATCAAAGGCAAGATATAAAATGTGTATAGAAAATAATTATTAAAATATATGTGTGATACAGTCAGAGTGCCTGGCATATATCTGTTAAAATATGTGTGTGAACATGAAAAAATACATTTAAACATTTTTGTATCTATCTTCAAACCATGAATATAGATGTATGTATTCAAATTTACAAAAATAATGAGCCATTAGTGCCCATTATCCTGCTCACCCATACACCCATATTCAATACTTTCAGTCATTCTACCGCTATTTTTTCAATTACCTTCACCCCCACAAATGCATACACATTGCCAATGCTCTTGATTTAAGTAGTTAATTTTTTTTTTTTTTTTTTTTTTTTTTTTTTTTGAGACGGAGTCTCGCTCTGTCGCCCAGGCCGGACTGCGGACTGCAGTGGCACAATCTCGGCTCACTGCAAGCTCCGCTTCCCGGGTTCACGCCATTCTCCTGCCTCAGCCTCCCCAGTAGCTGGGACTACAGGCGCCCGCCACCGCGCCCGGCTAATTTTTTGTATTTTTTAGTAGAGACGGGGTTTCACCTTGTTAGCCAGGATGGTCTCGATCTCCTGACCTCATGATCCACCCGCCTCGGCCTCCCAAAGTGCTGGGATTACAGGCGTGAGCCACCGCGCCCGGCCTTAAGTAGTTAATTTAAAGAGAATGCAAATCACGTCTATAACCACTATTCACTGTTTTGATGTGGAGATTTCCCCAGTTGAAAACAACACAGAATCATAAAAAAATCCCAAATGCATGATTATATCTAATGAGTATGTGATATCCAGGTAACCCACCTTAAAAAAAATTGAGGAGTTAATTTCTGACATTGATTCAGATTAGTAACTATACCGCAAAGCAATACAGGAGAACCTGTAAGGAAATATATCAATATATTCAATCTTTTTTCCGCCAATATATGTGGTTGGATTATGAGTTTTAAAAAATAATTTTCTGCATTTTATTTTCTTAATATGCTTTTATTAAAATGTAAAACTTAATAAAATGAGAAAAAATAATATATTTTTCAATTATCTTAACATCAATGCCATCCATTCATAGCAAATTCTTGGGGACCATTACTTAATGTAAAACAAATTTGGTAAATAGAATCTCGTTTTAAAAACTACACCTCTGCTAAACACTTGTATGGCCAATCTCATCAATTAATAAAGCACTAGGCTTATTTAATCATTTTTATGAAACCGTGAAGAGAGAAAGAACAGCTACAATCTTTCTGCATTGCTAAATGCACTTTAAACAAGTTCCATAACTATGGAATAGACCAGATATTAACCAGATGTGAAGGTTTTATATTTGATTTTTTAAATGGGAAACTATCTTATGAGTCTTCAAGTAATATAATCAGCCTACAGGTTGCCTGTAATTTTTTCAACAGATAGGAATGACCTAGAAAAGTTATTTATGGAACGATGTTATTTAAGAAACATAAAAGTGTTACAGTGTTTACAGAATTTCTTTTGGCCTGGCTAAGAATGTTTGCTAGACAGTGGTATTTTAAAAATAGTTCAGCATTTTCCATCTGTACATATCATTTCCATTATAATTAACTTAAGTTCACCCACCTGCATGCACATACACACCTTGGCCTAATTTGGTCATCCACATTTCTGTCCCTAAGTCTTTGAATATTTCATTACACAATATTTCAATAGGCAGCCTTGTGCACAAAAATCGGAATACTCAGTTAAGATATGAGCGTGTTTTCTCATCAGCACTGGCTCTCTAACCTCAGATTTTAATATGTTTAGGAATCCCTTTAGATGTTATATCCTAGAGGAGAAATATAATACACTACATTTTTATTACTCAAAGTGAGGTCTGCAGACCACCAGCAGCAACACATGGGAGCTAGTTAGAAATACAGAATTTCATTCAACATCTGTACACCTGGACTTATTGAATCAGAATCTGTTTTAACACTACCCCCAGGTCATTCTTATGCACATTAAAGGCTTTAAAATGAAATACACATTTAGTTTTTGGGAAATCAGCCAATCATCAATCAACCCCTGTGTGGGTCAAATCATGCTTTTTTGCTCTCTGTACCCAGCCAGAGTCACTTTTGAATACCACCCAATTTTAAAAAAGGGTCAAGGAGGCTAGTGTTTGGAAAAGCCCTAGTGAGGTTTTGGAAGGAAACAGCTGTTGATTTTATTTGAACCCCATGTGGTAGGTGATGAACATGGTGGGCTGATGGGACTCCTTCCACATTGCAGGTGATGGTGAAAAGCAACTGCCTGCGTGTGCACCCGTGCTCCTACCACCAGCTCAGTTCCTCAGTGAGAACTATTAACTGTTGTCTGCTCAGTTCCATGGACTACTTCCTTTTCTCTATATGCATTTACCACAATGCAGCAGGTGTGTTCTGAAATCTACAGAGTATCAAATGTCACTGGGCTTCCATGGAAGGCAGTAGCAAAATACAAATGAGCCTGATCAGAAGGGCTGAGGAATATTGAGAAACAGCAGGGAATAAAATACTACATGCATATTTTTATTTCTCCCTAATCCTAAGAATAACCCAGCTGGGTTGCATACATTTATTTATTTTTTTTTCTGTGAATATGTGGTTGAGACTAGGAAACTGATGACATTATCCAGGGACATGAAAATGGGGGAGAAAAAGAGGGTTTGTTTTTTTTTTTTGAAATGGAGTTTCGCTCTTGTTGCCCAGACTGGAATGCAATGGTGTGATCTTGGCTCACCAAAACCTCCACCTCCCGGGTTCAAGCGCATCTCCTGCCTCAGCCTCTTGAGTAGCTGGGATTACAGGCATATGCCACCATGGCCGGCTAATTTTTTTTTGTATTTTTAGTAGAGATCGTGTTTCTCCATGTTGGTCAGGCTGGTCTCGAACTGCCAACCTCAGGTGATTCGCCCATCTTGGCCTCCCAAAGTGCTGGGATTTCAGGCGTGAGCCACCGTGCCTACCCCCAAGAGAAAAAGAGATTTTAAGTAACCTGAATAAAATGATAGTATCTATTGAGTGTTTACTATATGGCTGACAATTTATTAAAGTTTGCCTATTCAATCTTCACATCAATCCCCTGATAAAGGTACCATTATACACATTACCAGATCGGGAGAAAGTCACTGAAGGGAATAGTCATTTCCACTAGAAGGTGCAGGGGAGACAAATAGTGATTACGTGATGAAGCCCAGAGTCAAACCTGTGCGTGGTGATCACAGATTTTGTTCCTGTCACCATGGCAACACACGATCTCATTTGAACCTTATGTGGTAGGTGCACAGTGTGCTAGGCTGTGACCCCAATTTGCAGATGAGAACAGTGAGATTATGGAAGGAAACAAAGGTATGGTCTCATAATGAGAATGTAAAAGGTTTAGTAAGATTTGAGCAGACAATGAGAGATGTTTCTCTAATTACAAAGCCACCACACATATTTTTTGCACCTCTATATGCTTTGCTAGTCAGGAACAGAGGTGTACATAAATCCCTTTTGAAAAGAAAAATGTCCTTGAAGATTATGCCTGTGCTGGCTCTGTTTTATTTATTTTATGGGAATCAGAGGAGAGGACATTGGTATAGCCTGGGCCCGGGCAGGGCTGCTACCAAGTACACCACAATTTGGGGGTTATTCTCCTAATACGGGGGTTAGCCTAGTATCTTGATGTTTTGCTTTCTCATTTTAAAAATATATTAAAAGTGATCATGCTGATGAATAAGAAAAAATGATGGAGAAGGAGTAACAAGAAGAGAAAAATGGTTTTATTGAAAATTGCAGACATCTTGCTACATGCTTTAAATATATTTACATGTTATTATTTTCCATTTTGCAGATAAGAGAATTAAGACTTTTGGATGGAAGTAAATTCTCACTGGCTTGGTGACCAGAGTGTAATGATTCTGGTTTTGCCTGAGCTGGGCAGAGCTTTTAACCACGCCAGAGCTGTAGCATAAAGTTAGAGAGCTCACTGGAATCTTTAGCCAAAACTGAGCAATTTTCTAGGTTCTTCTTAAAGTGAGAATCCCAGAACACCAAAAAGAAGAGTGGAATGAAAAATAAAAACCTGTACACATAGACAGGAATTAAAAGAAGACAAAACGCTTGTACCCTTCAGTTGCTTGAACTAATTGTGTTAATGCTGAATAATTTAGTAACAATTCCCTGTACTCTTGGAAACTGAGCTGGTGGACAATATTACAGAGGCTCCAGAGGTGGGATCTGTAATTTACTTAGCTCTGTGCAGTGACTTCCCTGACGCCCCTTGTAACTTTATAAGTCTTTTTCCAAATAGATATGTACTTCTCTGTTGCATTTCTTCCATTCCAGCCCCCAACTTGGTGACTTTCTCCTGAGCAGTTCTGGTCATGTCCTCTGCTACTGGTGCACCTTGGCCACTAAGAATAACCCCTTTATGCCTTTAGCAAATACTCTGAGGAACAGTAATTTGATGAAAGAGCAAACATGCTATTAAAAATGACCAAATCCTGTAACTCTTAGAAGCAAGTCAGACTCCCTAGCCACTCAAAAGCTTTATTTAGAATGTGGCAGGGTTATTTATAGTGGAGTTTTTCTTTGCTTTTTTTTTTTTTTGTGTGTGTATAGGAACCTAAAAGTATAAATGAATTTCTCATTGCAGTTTGCCTTTTGTCATACTCATGTGTGTGTGTGTGTGTGTGTGTGCACATCCTATTATTTTTTCTCTTAAAGGAGCTTTCCTTTGGCAAAGCTCATCCTCTGATTGCATCCTTGACTTTGTAGGAACATTTATAATCAGCTTTTCGAGATGTTTTCAGAAATCATTAGATGTTTGCAGTGGCTGAACCTATTGATCAAGGCCACTGTTTTTCAAGTACTCTCTTCTGTTTTTCCTGTCATTAAACTCTTACTGTAAAGAAAGGTCTTAGTTTTTAATAGCTGAACCCAAATTTCACATTCCAACTAGCCTATCAGAAATGCATTTAAGACTGTGACTCATGCCTATAATCTCAGCACATTGGGAAGCTAAGGTTGTGAGGATCGCCTGAGCCCGGGAGTTGGAGGCTGCAGTGAGCTGTATGATCATGGCACTGCATTCAAGCATGGGCAACACAGCGAGACCCTCCCCATCAAACCCCCAAGAAAGAATGCATTTAAATGTTCCTATAGTTTCTTCCATCCCACCAGTTGGAGGAAAGACACAAGCAAAAAAAAGCTGAAAGACCAAACAATAAACATGGAGACTCTCCCAGCTCCCCATCATCACATTCACGTAAACAAAATGAGATGGTACGACAGTGTCAAAGGACACAAACCACAGAGCCAAGTGGCAAATAGAGGGTGAGACATAAATCCAAAAATACAAAGCAAAAGTCACACTACAAGTGATACAACATAAGAAAGGACCTAAGCTGGGCGCAGTGGCTCACACCCGTAATCCCAGTGCTTTGGGAGGCTGAGGCAGGAGAATCACTTGAGCCCAGGAGTTTGAGACCAGACTGGGCAACACAGCAAGACCCCAGCTCTACAAAATATTTTTAAAAATTAGCTGAGTGTGGTGGCATGCACCTGTGGTTCCAGCTACTCCAGAGGCTGAGGCAGGAGAATCAAGGCTGCAATGAGCTGTGTTGGCAGCACTGCACTCCAGCCTTGGTGGCAGAGCAAGATCCTGACTCAAAAAAATAATAATAATAAAGATAAAAATAAATTTTAAAAAAGGAGCCTAGAGCCAGAAAACATACAGAAAGTAAGAGATTTTCACAGGATCACAGCATTCAAGAAACACAGAGGATCAAAACCAATGAGAGAGAAAATGAGGTAAAGTGAAAATGAAGACTGAGGGAAGGAAAGAGAGTAGGATAGTCCCCAGAGAGAAAGAGGGAAGGCGGAGGATAAGCAAGCAGACAAAAGCCATATGGAATGGATTCAGGGTCCACTGAGTGATTCTCACTAGGCCCAGGCTAATTTCTTTTAGCCCCTGGATGGATGGGTTAATGTATACTTTTGTATATACTTTTCTGTTCACACAGGTTCTGATTTTTTTTGTTTTTGCTTTGGAAAGTTGTGCATTTTGATTCTAACACATGACGTTTGCCGAATAGCTGAGGCTGACAGGACTTGGCATGAAGTCGGAACAATCTGAGTGAACCAACAAACATGATGATCTTTTTTTGTTCTTGAATTTTCAGAGACCAATTTTGTTTTTTAACCCTACACATTTTCTAGGAATTGGCACTAGAAGGTAAATCATGGCCATTTTACCTCAAATCAGATGTGAAACATAATAATTTAATAATTAGTCTTTAAACAAAATTGTCACATGCTTTCTACTTACAGACTATGACATCAGCTTAGAAGAGACGTGGGAGGTAGAAAAGGTATATGGGTAAGCCCTTGGACAGTTTACATCTGTCTAAAACTCTCTAAAATTATGAAATGGGGGCCGGGTGTGGTGGCTTGCGCCTGTAATCCCAGCACTTTGGGAGGCCGAGGTGGGTGGATCATGAGGTCAGGAGTTCAAGACCAGCCTGATCAATATGGTGAAACCCCATCTCTACTAAAAATACAAAAGTTACCCGGGCATGGTGGCACTCACCTGCAGTCCCAGCTACTTGGGAGGCTGAAACAGGAGAATCACTTGAACCTGGGAGGTGGAGGTTGCGGTGAGCCAAGATTGTGCCACTGTACTCCAGCCTGGGCGACAGAGTGAGACTCGGTCTCAAAAAAAAAAAAACAAAAAGATTATGAAATGGGCTTTTGAAATATTGGCAAAAGATATTTTAAAACAAGATTTATCTTTCTAGTATATTTGGGTATAAAAACAACTTAATTTATGCAGTTAATTTTAAAATGATCTAAAATGGCCACAGAAAAGGCTAATGCTAGTTTTCTGTTTCTGCTACTTTACAAATATATTTGAGCAAATGCATTTTATAAAACCTTTTATTTTTAACTTTTATGGGTACTTAGTATGTGTATATATTTATGTGGTGAGCAAATACATTTTTAATAGCTCAGTAAAGAACAAGGGAGGTGGAAGTTGGAGAATATACATAGATAGAACCAAGGAAAATAATACTTTTTTGACTACCTAGTACCTTCCAGGATATATGAACTCTCATTTAGATCTTACCTGAATCCTGTGAGATAGGGCTATTAATATCAACCCCCTTTTAACAGATAAAGAAATAGGTTCAGAGAAATTTAGTCACTGTCCCAGGTTGGCTAATAAGGTGGGGAATTGGGATTGGAATGCAAAACTAGCTTATTTCCAAAACCTATACTTCCTCTGCCTAAACTGTGCCACCCCCTCCCTCAGTTTACTTGGTTCTTCCTTATGTTTCTTTACACACGGAAGGGCTCTTGTGGAAATGGGAGCAAAGCTCTCATGGAAAAGTGCTTACTTTTATCGAACACGATTTGCTCTTCCAAGTATTTCTTTTGATCATCCCAATAACCCAGAAGGCCAAGTGGGATGACTAAGATGGCATTAGCCCCACACTAGAAACCAGACCTTTGGACACCTTGTCTTGTGTTTTCTCTAGTGATCATATTGCCTCACCAGAGGCTTTTGTGAATCCATCAGCATTACAGATGGTGTTCCCACCCATATGGTAACTCTTCACCATTCAAAGTGTGTTGAGATTAACACTGCAGTTCCAGGTTGCCCTACAGAGCAGGCCTCTTAAGACATCCACTCCTAAATCTTGCAGCATGCCAGTGCAGCAAGGTAGGAAAGCCCTGAGTGAGATATCCTTTTACGTGCACCACCCAATCACATGGTTTATGTGGTCCCTTTTAAATCCAAGGACTATGCTACTTCCCTACTTACACTGGCAAATATGAACTGAGAACCTGCATTAATAATAGACTTCCTCCCTGGGCAATGTTTTTTTTTTTTTTTTTTTTTTTAAGACGAAGTCTAGTCCTGTCACCAGGCTGGAATGCAGTGGCGTGATCTGGGCTCACTGCAAACTCCGCCTCCCGGGTTCAAGTGATTCTCCTGCCTCAGCCTCCCGAGTAGCTGGGATTACAGGCACACACCTCCACGCCCAGCTAATTTTTGTATTTTTAGTAGAGATGGAGTTTCACCATGTTGGCCAGGATGGTCTCGATCTCCTGTCCTCGTGATCCACCCACCTCAGCCTCCCAAAGTGCTGGGATTACAGGCGTGAGCCACAGCACCCGGCCTCCCTGGGCATATTATTGAATGAGATTTTCAAAAGCCTGTACTGCCTTGTGACCTCTGAGCTTCACATCATCTAAGATGGTACTCTTTAACATAGCCTAGCACCCCACATTGTGAGTGCTACATAACGCAGGCCAGGAAACCACACATGCAAGAATATTGGATAATTCTTTTGCTAATGTTCGAGGAAGGCTTTTGCAGCTGTCTTCCTATAGGAATACTTCGCTAGGCTTGGATTTGGGTGAGAAAAGTTAGCACAGTTGAGTGTCACTCGGCTTTGCAAGTACTGGGACACAGTTATGTACTGTGACCTGGTAGGGAAGTGTTGTCACATTTACAAAGAAAATCAGCATGCTGGGAACTGCTCCTTGAGATGTGATAGGGAAGTAAAAGTCTGCATCTGAAGACTCCTCTATCTCAAGAGAACTTTTGAGGTAGCAGAAGAAAGCGTTCTTACTTTGGAATTAGAGCCTTGGAAGAATCTTTGTAAATACAAAATCCTCTCCTTCTGCTACTCTGTAAACTCCACAAGGTTCTGGCTTTCTCTTTTAAATTTTATAAAAGGGTCAGCACAAGGGAAACTTTTCTCTTCCACCTAGCAAGGGCTTGGGCTAAGAGAGATTGTCCTCTTTCTCCCCTGAAAACTGTAAGCATTAAGACTGATTGACTGAATGCAGATACTTAATTTGAAACTTTTTAAAGAATAGTATTTTCTATTTTACAATTTACTATTTAAAGTATATTGTTTTACCCAAGCCATGCTTTTTATGAGCCATAGCCTTGTGTTTGAAACACCAGGAGGTATACAAATTCACATATCCACAGACACACACATTTATACAGAATTAGAAAACGATGATTAGGATACATTTCTGAAACCATTAGCAAGTTTTCAACACAGCTTCTACCTTTTTTTGTTGTTATAACCCCGGTGGCTTGTCTATTTTTCTGTCATCTTTATTGCCTGAAATGAAGAGCTTCTATGCAATATCCTACCTTGCAATACCTTTATTGACCTCTGCTGGTCAAGAGTCCAGGCTTGTATCTTTTTCACTGAGAAATATGGTAGCCTGGAGGATTGTGATTCTGCTCTGAAGTTAGACAAAGCGAGGCTTCAATTCCTGCCACAATAGCCCCCATACTCAGCTTGTATCATTGCATGAGAGTTAGTGTTGTTAAGCCTCAGTTTCCTCATTGAGAAAGGTACTATGTAAGATTTGTCCTTTAGGTATTCCCCTAAGCAACAGATGTGATATCCTAGTTCACTGAGTGGGGACTAAATATTATGGTAGTTGTTACTATTCTAGACAGTTCACGCCTTGGACATTTTTGTCATTAAAGCTTTTTAAAAATTGCAATTAGCGAGACAGTTTTTAAATCCTGTCACTCTATGGCCATATGTTACACATCTGTACAATAACCTGGGTGTCTTCAGCACTTTCTAGTGCCCTTTGGAATCCAACATTCTGTTTCTCTATGATTTTTGATTCATACAAACTGATCCTAATACTGAGTCTGAGGAAGGAATACATTTTACTAAGTGGAAGGAGAAATGCTTTGCCTTCTGAAGGCATAGAGGAAAGTATATCTTTAATTGGTACTTACTTTTCAATATTTAAGGAGAAGAAGAAAAAGTAGAATAAAATGATGGATAACCACATTCCATATTGACAGATGGACATGTCTAATATTTCAAAATGTCGCATGCAAATACCATAATTATTTTGAAGATCAAGGTGAGAGGGATATTGAGGATAACTCCAACTTTGAACCTCCACCCTCAGTAACCCATCTAATTCAACAGTGACGTGAGACACAGTAGGTTGACTTCTGTAATGCTGCGGACCACCCTTGGAAGGACACAAGTCGGAAGGATCGTCTTTCTTTTGAGCCATCTAAGAGTAAACATATCCCTGAAAAAAACACAGTCAGGCATTACAAACTGTTCACGCATACAAGTATAAAATCACCACCATCATAATACTATGAATTATAATGAAATATTAAATCTATAACATCTTGTAAGGAGATTGCATATAAAGCACGTTATTAAAATATACTTTATAAAAGTACTATGTTGCAATAACTGAGAGCTATTCAACTGCTATTATCTTTTGTGCAAAATTTTAAAAACGCTTGATCTTCAAACTGTTGCAAAGGTTAAAATAAATCCTATGATTAGAAGTACATGGAATTTGTTGAAATAAAAGCTAACATTTAATGGCACATTTTATAAATACTGAAGAGAAGGAATCTTTGATTCACAATTACTTAAGCATGTTACATGCCCACCTCCCCCAAGATACACACACATGCTTACTACCAAAACCCCATACTTATTAAGACAATTTGTAACCTTTGTACGAAGGGATGATTATGTGCCAAACATTTCTGATTTTTTTTTTTGAAACGGAGTCTGGCTCTGTCGCCCAGGCTGGAGTGCAGTGGTGCGATATCTGCTCACTGCAAGTTCCGCCTTCCGGTTCACGCCATTCTCCCGCCTCAGCTTCCCGAGTAGTTGGGACTACAGGTGCCTGCCGCCACGCCCAGCTAATTTTTTGTATTTTTAGTAGAGACGGGGTTTCACCGTGTTAGCCAGGATGGTCTTGATTTCCTGACCTCGTGATCCGCCCACCTCGGCCTCCCAAAGTGCTGGGATTACAGGCGTGAGCCACCGCACCCGGCCAAATTTGTTTTTAAGCACAGTGACAGTGAGATCCTTTACCTAAGATAAATTGTAAAACTTGTAAATTCACCTAAGACTTTTATTGACTTGTTCTTATAAAAAATGGGGTATTTTACAAAAAGAAGTTTATTTCTAGACTGTGCTGTATCACAACATCCATTTTATAATCCTCTTGCAATGATAATAGGAAACCTGATTACCATCAATAATGCTAATGGCTAACATTTTGAGTACTTTTATGCTTGCAATAGGTGGAACACTTAGGGCATATCTCATTTAATGCTCACAAACTCCATATGAGGTATACACTCATGTATTTCCAGTTGTAGCTATAAACCGATTTAATGAAGTCGTATAGTTCCTCTAAGGTCAGTCATCTGAAAGTTGCTGAGTCAAACCCCGAAGGTAAATATATTTGCCTTCAATTTCAATCCTAAACTTTTCTGATATATAGTCTCTTATAAAAAAGTTGAAGTTTCTCGGGTAAAGTAGTCACATTATGTCATTTCATCAAACATACACACACACAGTTTAGAAACTAATATTGCATTCTACAGATTAATTTACTTTCTTTTTTTCAAAATCAATACAATTGATTAACTTGTTTTTCTGAAGTGTTGACAAATTATTGGGTAAAAGTGAATTAATAGATTTATTCTACAGTATCTACTAGGGACATGCTATGTTCCAGGGTCTTTGCTGAGGTCATGAAGACACACAAAAAGATTCTGAATGATATGAACATTTACTTTGAAGAAACAAGGTAAAAATATACAATAGTGGGCTACTCACTCTTTAAACAACCTTCCTCATTTTTAAAAATAATATCTACTTGTCTTATCTACTTGTCTTCTTGGCAACCACAGCATCACTACCAGTTCACCTACATTATCCAGATCTCACATTACTCCTGGAAAAGAATTCACAGTCAAAACCAGTTTGGAGGGCGAGGGGGAAGGGATAGCATTAGGAGTTATACCTAATGTTAAATGACGAGTTAATGGGTGCAGCACACCAACATGGCACATGTATACATACGTACCTAACCTGCATGTTGTGCGCCTGTACCCTAAAACTTAAAGCATAATAATAATAATAAAAAACCGGTTTGAAGTAAGAAGGATTTCTCTCCCCATGACTCTTTAACAGAGCACATAGCTTGAAGCTAGTGCAACTTTCTAGGCAGGAAGGGAGAAGATCGCTATGTAAATCATTATCACTGACAAGTTAAGCCTCCAGTCAAAAGTGGAATGTATAGCTTGTGTATTTACCTTGGGCTACTTGTCTCCATGAGGTAGCCTGAAAAGAAATACTTAGAGCAGGTTGATATCCACACATACACACCCTTATTGTACTGAAGGGCCGGTCTCCTGTTGCCTTGGATTAGCTGAATTTTAGGGCTTAAATTATTCTTAGGACTCCTAATATCCATCTCTTCACCCCAACCCAGAAATCCTAAGTAAAGGAGATGAAGTGAAAATTCCATCTTGAATGAGTTGCTATTTGATTAACTCTAACTGTACCTATTAAACATAGGATTGGGAGTGGAAAATTATGAGTCCAATCTTCTCCATGTAGGTGGTCAAATCTGTTCTTCCAGTCGGCTTTGTCTGTTGCATCAGAATCACGTTTCTGAATTTCAAAACTAGACCAGTCATTCCCCTAATTTGTGTCTTCATTATCTACGTGAATGAGTCCCAAATATTTTCTAGCCTCAATGAACAGCAGTTACCATTATTTGACCTTGGAAAGTCACTCAAATTTTTAGCATTGTTGAATACCTTAAATGAGTTGATAGAAAGATAGCACTTAGAATAGGACATAATGGTGCTATGTAATTGTTAACTATAATGATAATGCAAATTTTTATTATTCATTAATAAAGTATTGTTAACTATAGTTACTGCTAGTGTTACTACTACAGTGTCTAATACTAGTAGTAATACTACTACAAACACCACTAAATTTGAATTTGATATTACATGAGAAAATAACATGTTAAATTTTATCAGCAACCATATTAAGAAACAGCTCAGTGAAATGAGAAAAACTTCAATTCAACATTTTGGCCAAAGGCTTTATCTTTCCTGTATATCATTATGCCTTCAGCATCTCCTTTCTAGTCAGTTTTTGGCAGACTGTGGGTTCAAAGTAAATGTTTATTAGTTGAGATATCTGTGTAACATTTCTGTTAGAACTTATAAAACCATCTAACACTAGTAGATGCTAAATAGATGCATGCTTTTTTTTATTCTAGCTTTTTCTCACAACATTTTGAAAGCCAGTCTACTCAGAAAAGATGCAGCATGAGCTGTCTTAAGCCATGTGGAGAAATAGGAACGCTTTTACACTGTTGGTGGGAGTGTAAATTAGTTCAACCATTATGGAAGACAGTGTGGAGAATCCTCAAGGATCTAGAACCAGAAATACCATTTGACCCAGCAATCTCATTACTGGGTATATACCCAAAGGATTATAAATCATTCTACTATAAAGAAACATGCATACATATGTTTATTGCAGCATTATTTACAATAGCAAAGACTTGGAACCAACCCAAATGCTTATCAATGATAGACTGGATAAAGAAAATGTGGCACATATATACCATGGAATACTAAAAAAGAATGAATTCATGTCCTTTGCAGGGACATGGATGAAGATAGAAACCATCATTCTCAGCAAACTAACACAGTAACAGAAAACCAAACACCACATGTTTTCACTTATAAGTGGGAGTTGAACAATGAGAACACATGGACACAGGGAGAGGAACATCACACACTGGGGTCTGCCAGGGGTCGGGGGGCAAGGGGAGGGAGAGCATTAGGACAAATACCTAATGCATGCGGGGCTTAAAACCTAGATGACGGGTTGATAGGTGCAGCAAACCACCGTGGTACATGTATGTATACCTATGTAACAAACCTGCACATTCTGCACATGTATCCCAGGACTTAAAGTAAAATAAAAAAGGGGGGAATTCATTATAATTTTTTTTTTCAAAGAACATTTAACTCACGTCTTTTCATGCCCCAGTGAGCACAATATAAACATCAGAGACACACGGAAAGCGATATGCATGTGTATGACATTTTTCAGGGTCCTTTAAAGTCATAATCACTACCTGGCACTTTACACCCATTATCTCATTTAATTTTCATAATAAACCTAAAAGTTAGATGTTATTATAACTGCATTGTAAGAAACTGATACACTGCAAGAGGTTAGGTAAATTTTCCAGCATTGCGAAGACTGTTCTGTATCTGCTGAACTCTAACATTCATCTATCTAGCTCCAAAGCCTTGTTTCATTCTTCGTGCTCTCTGTGTGGAAGTAGCCTGTGACTTCCATGATTTTCATGATCCTTTTACTCTGAGTTTCTGCCTCTAAATCTCAATCTTCCTTTTTAATAGCTCCAGTCTCCAAAAGCTGTGAAACCCTAGCAAAATTAGTGGTGGAGTTGTGCTTTAGATCCAAATCCATGTGAACATAAACAAGTAAGCTCAACATCACTGAGCTCAGATTTTTCATCTGTAAAATATTTGGTAATCTTTATATTTTGGCTTAAATGAGGCAGTAAATACATGAGAAGTACCTAGCAGTGTCTTTCATATAGTAGGCACTTAGTGGATGAAAGCTACTCTCTTTATTATCCTTACTCTTCTGATGATTGTTTATAATCAGATAATGAAGAGGCATCACTAATCATTTAAATTCTCATCCTTCTAAAGCTGTGTATTAGTTATGTTTGCTAATGAGACTCTTGTACTTAACTGATCTTATCTGCTTTGTCATGCCCAGTATCTTAGTTTGAGCTTCCATATAATATCTATCCTTCCAATTTCTTAGATCTGAGTCCTTTTTTTCCCCTCTGTATTGATTTTATTAAATCTTTTGGCTCAGTAAGTCATTAGAATAAAATATCTAGTCTTACAGAGAAAATGATCTTTGGAATCAGCAACTCAGTTTTATTTCGAAGATCAAGAAAGTGAATGGAGGAAGCAGAGACTTGAATATCTTTTCTAGTTGACAAGTAGCTTTTTTCTGGATGACAATGCTACTACCCATCCCAGAGGTCCTTTGATCCATGGGCTAAAGTTGGGTGACTCAGCATTCTCAGTAATGCCAAACATATAGTGGGCATGACTTGTTTAATTACAAGGTGAGAGCTTAGGTACATCTCAGAGGAAGAAGCAATAAAAAGATACATTGAAGTCCATATCAGCTTTCTCTGTGTCTTGAATCAAGGGCACCTGGTGGAAGACAGTATGCTAGATCGAAGAGTCTTGGATGCAAACAGTCCTATGTTAAAATACCCAATTCTTCCACCAACTAGCCATGTGCTTTTATGCAAATAACCTGATCTCTTTGAATCTCCATTTACTCACCTGTCAAATAAGGAAAAAGACACCTGCAGATATTTGATGAAGTGCTTTAATTATTATTTACCATAGAAGACCACATTTTATTGGGATATAATTTCAAATTTACAGAAAATTTCCAACAATAACAATATATTAATAATAATACAAGAATCTCACCATATTCATCAAGTGTTTAATTTTGCTTCATTCATTTTATCATTTCCTAATTATCTTTTCATGCATATTGCATTTTTCTTCTAAACCTTTTTCCAGCAAGTTGGGGATATTTTTTTCCATTACCATAAAATACTTCAATGTATTTTCTAACCACAGAGTAATTATTATGATCTGGAAATGTAGCATTGGCACAATACTATTATTCTATCCATAATTCATAAAAATTTTGTCAGTTATTCTAAAATTGCTGTTTATAGATATTTGTATTTCTTGGTACAGGTCAAGATGACTTACTGCATTTAATTGTCATATCTTTTTAGTTTCCTTTTATTGGAACAATTTCACAGACTTTCTTGAAATTTGTATTTTTGGAGTTTATATGCCAGTTATTTTGTGGAACATTTTTAGATTTTTGCATCTGATATTCCCTTGTGAGTACTACAAGTTAGGCGTTTTTAACAAAAACCCTGTAGAAGTGATGCGGTTTTCTAAGGGCACCATATCACAAGTTACGTGAGGTTGGTTTATCTCAATATTGATGATGCTAACTTTGCTTACCTGGTTGAGATGGTGTCTGTCAGGGCTTTCTTCTGCAAAGCTACTATTTTCCCTTTTGTTATTAATAAGTAATTTGTGGGGAGATACTTTCTGACAATTCTATTTCTCATTAGACTTTCATCCAATAGTTTTAGCATTAATTCGTGATTTTAAAAAATCTCCATATTCCTTCTATATTTATTAACTGGCATTCTACTGTAAGGAAGTCCATGATCATTTCACAGTTGTTTTTCTGGAAGGATAAAAATATGGTAGGAGCAAGAGAAAATATAGGAGTATAAGAGTCAGTGTATAGACTTTAAGGGCCTAGATAAACAACTAGTATATGGGATCTCTTCGATGGCATGTGCAAAATGATACAGGCAGGGCTTCAAAGAAATATGCATTACGTTCTTTTCTCAATAGAACATCTTTATTTTATTTCAAACAGTGTACCATAAGGCAGGATTGCGGAATATTGTGAGAATTCCTGGCACATCAGCAAAGTGGACTCTGAGAGACTTTAAGTTAAGGTGGCTTGGAAATAACATTAAAATTATGACTTTATGACTTTTTTAGAGAAAATCTGAATCTTAGGATAAAGGAGAAGAATTATTCTTTTTTAAAAAAACACTCCTCAGAAAAGGATTATACTTAAACACACACATACACACACACACACACACACATACACACAATATTCTGTGGTCATGAAATACTTGTTTGAAGTGTATTAACCTCATATATGAAAGAAAACAAAATGCTAAACTACTCAATATTTCAGGACTGTTTAAATTGTAGACCTGGGCCAGGCATGGTGTTTCATGCCTGTAATCCCAGCGCTTTGAGAGGCTGAGTGAGGTCGGAGTATTGCTTGAGCCCGGGAGTTCGAGACCAGCTTTGGCAATGTAGCAAGTCCCTCACCTCTACAAAAAATAAATATAAATGAATAAATAAATTGTAGACCTAATCAGAGATGTAATAAACTATCCTGATTGATATAATATAATTTAATTTGTGTTTTGAAAATCATTTTATTAATTGAATTACCACTGAACCATGGGTTTAGGTAAAAATGTCTTTTTCTTGGTGACCATCTTATCTAGGTCCCTGTTTTTGCAAAAACTTCAGAATTTAGAATGAAAGCTGCCGTAGCTTTATGGAATGTCAATATTATACGATTACATATATTCTCAAATAAAACCTATTGTTGATGAGCACCTTTAAATGTGATGAGTTAGTACATTAATGCTCTTTTAAGAAGGGAAAATGCCAGAGCATGAATTTGCTTCACCTGGTTAGAGGTTGGGAATAATTTTTAGTTGCATTCATTCTCCGAGGAGGGCAGAATTTGTCCCCATGTGCAGAGTTTGCCATTCCCTGCAATGACGGTGTCAAGACTGTGTTGCTCAATTACAAGGCATGATTCTTTCATCCTGGACTTAACCTCAGCCTTGATGCTGTTATTTTTAATCTGTGCTTCAGGGGATTGGGTTGGATGACCTGTCAGGTCTCTTCTAGTTCAGATATTCTAAGCTACGAAATAGAAGAGGCACTAGTAAACATTTCCACTGGCCTTGAGTTTTGATGAATTTATCTGCAAGGATGAATTAGGTTTATTCTTCTTTGTCTGGAGGCGAAGGAGACATATGTCTTTAAAGCTGCCTAACCGGACTATCTTTTCAGCATGATTTAAAAACACAGGAAACTTTCACATAGGATTAGGATCAGTATGAGCCATCTGAAGATTTCATACATTCTTGTAGGAGGAAAGTGGTTCAGAAGACCAAGAGTGGATGGATTATATCTACTGAGTTGGGCAGGTGAGATGTAAGCTTGTGAAGTTGAAAGCAATTTTTCCTTCATCCTTTTAATAAAAATGTATGTTACTTTTAATTATACAGTAATGAGAAAACATTATTACATATGATTATAGGCACTTGGTCTGCCTAATGGAATCTGTTCTGTTCTAATTCATCCGAGTAAAGAATAAGACACATAAAAAGTAAAAGTAGGCCGGGAGCCATGGCTCACGCCTGTAATCCCAGCACTTTGGGAGGCCAAGGCAGGCAGATCACAAGATTAGGAGACTGAGACCATCCTGGCTAACACGGTGAAACTCTGTCTCTACTAAAAATACAAAAAATTAGCCGGGCATTGTGACACATGCCTGTAGTCCCAGCTACTCGGGAGGCTGAGGCAGGAGAATCGCTTGAACCTGGGAGGCTGAGGTTGCAGTGAGCCGAGATCGTGCCACTGCACTCCAGCCTGGGTGACAGAATGAGACTCCATCTCAAAAAAAAAAGTGAAAGTAACAGCAAACATGCCTGCTCCCCAGACAGGCCGATCTATTGCTTTAGAATCTGAGAATTAGATGATCTTTTGTGCAAAACAGTAATTGTTTTTAGTAGCCTCTAAACAATTTGTTTTGTGTTTCCTTCCTTCTTTATTATAGCTTTGGGTCAGTCCAGTCCTGAGATGTTGTCTAATTTATAATCTTCTATCACAAGAAATAATTTCTATGTCTTATAAAAGAGAATGTTTTCATTGTATGTATACTAGGACTGTTCTCTCTTTAATAAAATTTTACCTGCGAGTACCTTGGCTAGGAACAAGACAGCTAGCATGATTTCACACAAGTAATCACCTGTTTGCAATTTGGTTCATTTTTCTTAATCTCCCCGGGACTTAGAGTTAACTTTCAGGCAGGTTTGTTAGCAGAAACTAAGTATTGTGGGACACAGTTATAACTTCAATAAAATTGTACAAGGAAACATGAACAGCAGTGGTGATATTTTGCTGTTTTTCCTGATAAGTGATTCTAACGTGAAGAGCAAAAATATTTGCAGGGGGATTGAGAAACAAGAATTGAGAAATATGTTCTCTTGCAGTGGTTCTGAAAGCGCAGTAAGCATCAGAATCATGTAGGAGGATTTGTTAAAGCAGGTACAGTGGGCCTGACTTCAGAGTTTCTGATTCAGTACCTCTGTGGTGGGACAGAATTTGTGTTTCTGACAGGTCCCCACGCAATGCTGACAATGCTGGTCTGAAGACCACACTTTTAGTACCAGTGATCTAACATATCCTCCAAATAGTTTTATTTTGGTAGCTGTTGTGTGTAGCAGAGAGAACATCAGATGAGAGTCATAAAGCTTTTTACATTCAATTAGTCATTCGACAAATTTTCCTTGGCCTGTAATAGGTAAATTATGTGCTACGTTCTTCAATACAGAGATTAATAGGGCCCATTCCTCATGTCTAAGGAAATTTACACTCAATTAGAGGAGACAATCAAGGGAATCCACAATCTCAATACAGTTCAATTAGCAATATAATGGTTGTTGTGCAGACTTAATGGTAGTAGTGCCTGACTCAATTTACACCTGGAACCTGCCATCAAAGTAAGCTTTTTAGAAGCAAAATTTAAAATGAATTCTGAATACAATATGGGATTTATTACACTGGAGGACATATCTCAAGAGGAAAGGGTAAGAGTGAATGGCACAAATGAGGGGAACAAGAATGCAATTTAAAAATGGCAAACAGTTCAGCAGCAGTAGAACATGTAATACTATGGAGACATATACTTAGCCCCACAGCTTAATCGCTATTTACTTCCCAGCCATGAGAAATTTTGCGTGGTATTCTTAGGGGTTTGCACTTTACCATGTATGTGATGGGAGCAGAGGGCCAGACACTGAAGATTTTAAATAAAGAAGTAATGGGATTACATTTCTATTAAGATTGCTTAAATAAATTTTGATATATCTATTATTTAAAATACTATGCAGCTATGAAAATAATGTCAGTGCTATATATATATTATGAACTAGCTCTAAAACAAGATATGGAATAGTGTTCACAGAATTTTTTTTATTTGTGTACACAGAAGAATGAAGAGTCCATGCATTTGTGTATACTTACGTGTGCATAAAATATTTCCTTGGGTATAGACAAATGAACAAGCATGAACACACATAAAATATAACTTGATAACAGTAGTTGCTTCTGGAAGGAGGAACTGGAGGACAGGGGGCTGTGTTAGGGGACTTTTTGCTTTGCCTGCTTTCTTATTACTATTTGACATTCTTTTGACATGAACATATTTTATTTTTTATTTTATCATATGTATTTACTGCCATTACTACTACTATTGCAATTAACAAATCATTTTAGAGTTAAAAAAGATTACTGTTGCAAACATTTAAAAAATTATGGTGGTACATGCCTGTAATCCCAGCTACTCAAGAGGCTGAAGCAGGAGAATCACTTGAACCCGGGAGGCAGAAGTTGCTGTGAGCCGAGATCACACCATTACACTCCAGCCTGGCAACAAGAGTGAAACTCCGTCTCAAAAATAAATAAATAAATAAAGAGTGCTGGAGGAAAGGCTGAAACTGAAGGGAGGGGAGGGAGTGCTGTCTCCAATTTCAGTTAATGTCTTTAGTGATTAAAGTTAGAGATAATGGTGACAGATTATATGAAAAGGAGGGAATTAACCTGAGTGAGTTATGAAATCCAGATGCTTTCTGCAGTCACTTTATACATAGAAAAATTTTCTTTGAGCCCAATACATGCATATTTAAAAAAAGTCTGTCTTTGGGTCAGTCAGGCACAGTGGCCCACACTTGTAATCCCAGTACTTTGGAAGGCCAAGACAGGAGGATTGCTTGAGCCCAGTAGTTCAAGACCAGCCTGAGAAACGTAGTGAGACCCCACCTCCATACACACACACAAATTAGTCAGGTGTGGCAGCCTGCACCTGTAGTTCCAGCTACTTGGGTTGAAGTGGGAGGATCCTATGAGCCCAGGAGGTCAAGGATGCAGTGGGCCATGATTGTGCCACTGCACTCCAGCCCGGACAACTGAGCAGGACCCTGTCTCAAAGGTAAAAAGCAAAAAAGAAGAAAAAATGTCCGTGTTCGACACCAGGAGGTAAGCTATCTGAAGGCAAGGAATTTATTTTCTGGTTACTGCTATATCCAGTACTTCCTGAGAAGATATTTAGTAAATGTTGTTAAATGACTGAATCCAAGGGAATTTAATTTCTTGACTTCGTTGAATTTTTTATTCTCTGAACCACATTTTCTTTTATTATTATTATACTTCAAGTTTTAGGGTACATGTGCACAATGTGCAGGTTAGTTACATATGTATACATGTGCCATGCTGGTGTGCTGCACCCATTAACTCGTCATTTAGCATTAGGTATATCTCCTAATGCTATCCCTCCCCCCTCCCCCCACCCCACAACAGTCCCCAGAGGGTGATGGTCCCCTTCCTGTGTCCATGTGTTCTCATTGTTCAATTCCCATCTATGAGTGAGAACATGCGGTGTTTGGTTTTTTGTCCTTGCAACAGTTTACTGAGAATGATGATTTCCAATTTCATCCATGTCCCTACAAAGGACATGAACTCATCATTTTTTATGGCTGCATAGTATTCCACGGTGTACATGTGCCACATTTTCTTAATCCAATCTATCATTGTTGGACATTTGGGTTATCTCTGAACCACATATTAAAGGTACTTTCTTCTTCACCTTAGTGCAGAGCCCAAAAAAGAGTACATTTCCTTTTACTTATTTCCTGTAAAAATCTCTCTCTCTCTCTCACACACACACACACACACACACACACAAAGATTTAGCATGTATTGTGCAGAAAGCAGGAAGTTACAGGGGATAGATTCACTACATTATCTGGCCAACAAGTTAAACAACAACAACAACGTGTTAAATCCCCCGCTGTCTGATCAGAGCAACTTGCTTCTCCAAAGTAGTACAAAGTTTCAAAATGACCAGTTTTAGCAATCAGATTAGACCAGTTGCCACCTCTTCCAGTCTCTGGGTGGGTTGGGGAGTGGTGGCATTTTATCTTCTCAGTTCCATTTAGAAAAGAGAACTGCTAACTCTTCCAGAATTATAGATGTGGAAGAATCGAAGGCAAGCGATAAAGGGGAAAGTCAGGGAGACAGAGAGAGTGAGATCTTGGATAACTTCCAAGTTTTCTGACTTAACGAAGTGGGCACACCGGCTTGAGCATGATCTTTGTCCCTAAATTGTGTTGCTTTGCACAAAACTCTTATTCTGCAAGAAACTCGGTTTCACACCTGTAAAGTAGATGACGATGTATTCTCCATCTGCCTCCAAATTTTGTTTTAAGTAGTATGTGAAGTGAAATATGTGCAAGCATTTTGTAAACTTCCCCTGTGCTACAGAAATTTAGTCATGTTATTGCTTGCCTAAGTTGAGTCCTTTACGCATTTGCATTAGGTGTTAAGAGCAACTTGAAGGTTACGATCACTTACATTCCTGATGCCTTTGGTTTCTATGGGGAAATGAGAGCAGAAGTTCACAAAAAGGAAAATCTGTAGTACAGACAGAGCACACAAAAGTGCCTCACATTCTGTGTGGCAGATGGTAGTACCTTAATAGATGTGAGTTTCCTTCCCTTCCGCCCCTGCTTACCCAAAATGACTTAGAGACGCTAACTCTGGCAGTTTGGAGAAAATTGGATTCCCAAACGTGCCAAGTTGGTTTAGGGTATGCATATATGATTTATAGCTGAGTATTGTTAGTGAAGATATTGGAGTCACAGAGGTGAGAGTCAAATTCTGACTCTTTAATATTCAACTAATGTGCAACTTTGCACTTGACACTCTCAGCTCCCTTCTCCTCCCTTCCTTTCCTTCCTCCCTTTCTTCCTTCCTTTCTTTCTCTTTCTTTCTTTCTTTTTTCTCTCTCTCTGTTTCTTTCTTTTCCTTCCTTCCCTCCTTCCTTTTCCTTCCTTCCTTCTCCTTCCTTCTTTCCTTCCTTCCTTCCCTCCCTCCCTCCCTTCGTTCCATCTCTCTTTCTTTCTTTTATTAAAGACGGGGTCTCAATCAGTTACCCAGGCTGGAGTACAGGGGCATGATCATAACTCACTATAGCCTGATCCTCCTGGGCTTGAGCAATCCTCCCACTTCAGCTTCCCAAATAGCTGAGACTACAGGTGTGCACCGCCACACTGGCTAAATTATTTAATTTTTAAAAATAATTTTTGTAGACACAGGGTCTTGCTATACTTATCAGGCTGGTCTCAAACTCCTGGCCTCAAGGGATCCTCCCAACTCAGTCTCCCAAAATACTGGATTACAGGTACGAGCCACTGTGCCTGGTCTCAGATTTTACCTGTAAAATAGGAATGCCTCTGCTTTATATGAACATTAAGAGGACTTGAGCTAAAATACACGCACTTTGGGAGGCCAAGGCAGAGGCTGAGGCACAAGATTCACTTGAACCTGGGAGGCAGAGGTTGCAGTGAGCCAAGATTGTGCCACTGCACTCCAGCCTGGGTGACAGAGTGAGACTTAGTCTCAAAAAAAAAAAAAAAAAAAAAAAAAAAGGACTTCTTCAAGAATCTTATTACTATGTACATTGATAAGTGGAATACCTGTTAGTAACTAATATAACCTAGCTTAGAGGCCCTTTCTCTAATCTGTTATAATAGGTAATAACAACATCCATTCTGTAAGAACTTAATGATTACTACCGCACTGTGCCAGACACCATATTAACCATCATATTTTTGTTTCTTTATCTGCAAGGTGAGAAAAAAATAGTACACATCAGTTAATCTTCTAATTTAAAGAGATTGTGTACATTGCTTCTAGTCAAAGACTCAGTAAGTGGAAGTACAGGAATTGGACTTATTCTTGTCCATTTGTGGAGATCTAGCTGGATCCCAATCAGCATGTGATATTTACTTTTTAGAGTATTAGAAGAAGAATACAGAAGTTTGCATTCTGGGTTCTCCCAAAGACAAAATTCACGGGCTTGGACAAGTTATATAATATCTTAAGATCCTAAGTTTAACAATAAAATTGTACCCTTAGCGTAATCTCAATGAATTATGGGAAAGTATTAATGTTTGTAGAGTGCTTATTTGTTTGAGCAGGAATACAAAGGAAAGAATACTAACAAGCACATGTTTTTCATTCCTTAGACTCTAATGCAATTCAGTACAGTTAATTTATTTCATCACCTCCCTGATCAATCATAGGAGCTAAGGATGGCAGTCTGAACACATTACCAATTTGCAGCTGCAGAAATTGAGGCTCTGGCTACACAAGCAAGTATCTGAAAAACATGTTCCAGGAGACTTGAGATGGAGCCCTTGGCACTGGTTTTATCTCTGAATGTGTATATTGTTCTTCCAGGGCCCAGATGCTCTGCCTTTTCTAGGGCACCAAGTTGAAGTTACGGTGAATCTCAATGTCTCCCCATGTCTTGAGAGTTTACCATTTTCTCAAAACTGGCTGCCCAAACTTCAACATCAGCACTTTGCCACTAGCCAGTCTCCATGTGTGGGAAAACTCATTTCAATCAGTCATGGTATTGATTTATCTGGAATATTTTGAATCACTCTTTTTGTCAAAAAATAACAATGTACCAAAAGCATGTCGTTACCCTTGCCAAAGAATACAAATTTGTGAAATTTAAATTTCAGCATCCCTTTTATTTTTCATCTATCTATTTTATCTTTCTCCATCTGACTAAGATGTTAGAACTAGTGTCTAAGCCAATTAACTTCCAAGGGTTGCAGAAGTCTCCAGTTTCTTGCAAGTCTCACATAATCAAAGGAACTTTCTGTATGTGAGCTCAAATACACACCAAAGAAAAATTACTACTGTGTTTTTAGGAACTCTATTCAAGTCTTGCCTGTACCCTGACCCTCTCATTTTTTTCTTGCCAAAAAAGCCAGTTCCTTTTGGAGTGAAATTATATTGATGCAGTGATCTCGTGTGTGAATATCACTGGCCTCAACAGCTTTCTTTATGTTCCTGCTTAGCCTAAGATTGGGATTTCCTGGATAACATTTCAAAATTTTAAAGGAGTTTGAGCCACAGAGTTAAAAGTTGTCAATGAATGATGGTCTCAAAGGATTCACTTATTATTTAAATTAATAACAAAACATCAGTTTAAAAACTTCCCATCCAACTGTGTTATAACAAACATAGTAAACTTGTTTTTTCCTGTAATTTGGTAGGTTTTGTGTTTATTTAGTAAAGGATCCTCTATCATCTGAACTTGTACCTTTTTTTGTTTGTTTGTTTGTTTGTTTTTGTTTGTTGCTGTTGCTTTGGTATTTGCAGCTCATGGAGACTGGCCCTGAGAAGTGGCTGGCATCATCACTAACTGCTGTGTTATCAGGGGTGGTTTTATACTGTTATTACTAGAATATTTACAATGAAAATGCAGGGCTTGGTTTAAAGAGCACCTGCTTAATCAAGGATAGAAAGTCATATTTTGTATATGCCACTAGGTGAATAGCTGACTTGCATATTAATTCTGTCCCTGACTATAGTTCTGTTCATGTGGAGTTTTTTCTCTATAGATGATAATCCTTTGTAGAATATTCAGTTAAAATTTTAGGAAAGATCTTTCTGTACGGAGTGTTGCTTGGGCACTGCATTAGGCTTTGTGTTTTGTTATTTTTTAAAATATAACTTCTTATGTTTGAGTTTCCCTTTGCCTTTAAAATAATTTTCTATAGATAGGAAAGTGCAGCTCTTCTCTAGAAGAACAAAGGGAAAATAACAGTAATGTCCTGAGTATTCTGAGTATTGTAACAATGATACATTTTTGTTAAACAAAAAATTTTATTCTCTAAGAGTAAATATAAATTGGTCACAGCCTGGGTTCCTAATGCTATAAAGTCAGAGAAGCTTGGGCGATTTACCAGAAACATAATTTACTAAGCTAGACTTTCCCTATTTGGGAAGTTATGAAAATGATATTACGTACCTCATAAGGCTATTGAGAGAACTAAATGAGGCAATTCATACAAAGTGCCTGAAATGCAGTTAGCACTTGGTAAATGCTAGCTGTTAGTACTAGTATTAATATCCAAACAGAAACTATATACGGATGAACGATTTTCAGAGACTGGGTTTTTTTTTTTACCAATCTAAAACATCATACGATTATAATATGAGTAATGGGGAGATCCATGTTTTTGACATCATATTGTCATGAGAGAAGTATGAGACTATGAAATCAGTCAGACCTGTATTTGAATTTCAGCTCCACTACCTACTGGCTAAGCTTCTGCTTTCTTCCCTACCAAACGGAGGTAAAATTATTATCTCTAACTATTCTTTGATTTGATTTGATTTATTTCATTTTGTTATTATTGTTTTTTGAGACAGAGTCAAACTCTGTCACCCAGGCTGGAGTGCTGTGGTGTGTTCTTGGCTCACTGCAACCTCTGCCTCGCAGGTTCAAGTGATTCTCCTGCCTCAGCCTCCCATGTAGCTGGGATTACAGACACCCGCCACCATGCCCAGCTAATTTTTTTTGTATTTTTGGTACAGATGGGAGTTTACCATGTCGGCCAGGCTGGTCTCGAACTCCTGACCTCAAGTGATCCATCCACCTTGGCTTCCCAAAGTGCTAGGATTGCAGGTGTGAGCCACGGGCCTGGCCTCTAAGGATTATTTTAAAGACTGAGTGAAGACTCCAAATTGTATGATCCACAGTGAAAACCCAATACATTTTTAGCACTTTATACATTCTCCTGTAAACTTTTTATTATGAATTAGCATCGGAGAGTAGATTAATTCAATGGAGACACCATCTTCCTCCTGTGTAGCATATTTGTGTTAACTATTTGGAAGTTGGGAGAGGGAGATGTTTGTTTGAATGCTTAATCTTAAGTCGTGATTCTCATTGTTTTTCCATTATTGTTGCGAATAATCAGTAGGTCAGCCTACTTGGGGTTTGTATCTGAAGAGTCAGTCACAGAAAGAGAAGCTAGAAAAACTACACTAAGATGCTTAGAGAAATTCATAGTATGCCATATCCTGATGCCTCTTCTTGATTCTTTCAAATGTAAATGGTCTCCCCAGGCAAAAGGACTCAGATGTGTTTGAAAGCTGTTTCACAGCCAGTGTCTCACAGACTCCATGATTAAGCTAGAGGATTACCTATTCTGATTCTCTAATCTACCTTCATACAGTCTTGGACTCCCTGCCCTCCTCTGCTCTACATAATCACCTCCAGATGCTGTTGCTGTAAGGACTGCTTGGACACATATCTCCAGTTCTTGCTCAGACTTAGTTCTCATAATTTCAGGGATGGCTTAGACAACACTGTCATCAAGCCCCTCAAAGTGCGCATTCTTCCTTTCTTGGCATATTGTAGACCATGTTTCTTTTACAGCCATTTCCTTGTGAAAGGAGAACCTGAGAAGATAGGGAGTTTCTTATCACCAGGTATATACAATCAGAGATTAATTATCCTAGAAGTTCCCCAGGGAATTCAAAGATCAAAAGAGAAAAAAAAGGAGTGAAGGAATTGCACAGGGTAACTTTAAGATCCAACCTACCCTTGAGTCTACTATGCATTTTCTACGTAGTATTCCATTATCATTTAGATCTTCATTTATTAGAATGAGGATAGTCATATTAAGGAATACAGATATTTGGCCAGGTGTGGTAGCTCACGCCTGTAATCCCAGCACTTTGGGAGGCTGAGGCAGGCAGATCACCTGAGGTCAGGAGTTCAAGACCAGCCTGGCCAACATGGTGAAACCCTATCTCTACTAAAAATACAAAAATTAGCCAGGTGTGGGGGCAGGCACCTGTAATCCCAACTATTCAGGAGGCTGGGGTGAGAGAATCACTTGAACCAGGGAGGCGGAGGTTGCAGTGAGTTGAGCTTGTGCCACTGCACTCCAGTCTGGGTGAAAGAGTGAGACTCTGTCTCAAAAAAAAAAAAAAAAAAAAAAAGTAAAGAAAGGAAAAGAAATACAGATATTATGTATGTATATGGAGATTTAAAAATATCCAAATGTTGGGTAATGCAAAGGTTGAGAAAAATCCACTAAAAACATTATTGCTTCAATGTTTTCTTCAGGCCAGGCGTGGTGGCTCATGCCTGTAATCCCAGCATTTTGGGAGGCCGAGGCGGGCAGATCACCTTAGGTCAGGAGTTCGAGACCAGCCTGACCAACATGGAGAAACCCCCGTCTCTACTAAAAATACAAAATTAGCTGGGCATGGTGGCAGGTGCCTGTAATCCCAGCTACTTGGGAGGCTGAGGCAGGAGAATCGCTTGAATCCAGGAGGCGGAGGTTGTGGTGAGCCAAGATCATGCCATTGCACTCCAGCCTGGGCAACAAGAGTGAAACTCCGTCTCAAAAGAAACTCAGCCAACTTCTTTTGATGGTTCTGCATTAAAGACCTCAATCAGGATGTTCTGTCCAATAGTGCATTCTGTGAAGATGGAAATGCTCTATATATGTGCTGTCTACTATGCCAGCAATTAGCTACTTGTGGCTAAATACTTGACATGTAGATAGTGAGCCTGAGTAACTGAATATTTAATTTAATTAATATAAATTTTCTTTGACATATGTGGCTAGAGGCCATGATATTAGACAATACAGGTCTAGAATATCTCATGGCTTTCTTAGAGGGCTATTTAACTCCCAAATAATATTTCTGATCATCCTTGCAAAGGGATGTTAGTCTTACCATCTACAGAGGATATAGCAAAGATCATCAAGAGTCTTTACATTTGAAAAAAAAAAACCGACATTCTTGAGGAAAAAAAAGTTATGGGTGCCTACATTAACACATATCAAGAGTCATTGTAAAGGGAATATATACAGTTGTACTCACTCAGTAATAACCAGGCAGATATTATACCTGGATTTAAAAGGCCCCAAAAAGACCATGCATATATAGAAACTTCATATAAACAGAAATAGCACTATAGGTCAATGACGAAAGGATGGACTATTTGATAAATAGCTCAGGGAAAATTATCTATATGGAAAAAATATTTCTATTTTATACTATACGCAAAAAATCAAGTTCATGCCTTAAGTATAAAAAGTATAAGTTTTAGAAGGCATATGAGAGAATATCTTTAGGTTCTTTCTGTAGGGAAGCATTTATTAAGCAACAAACAAATAATATAAACTTTAAAATGAAAATTTTTACTGCATTAAATTTCAGAACTTTGGTTTATCAAAAGGCATTATAAAATAAAATAAAAAGTACAACAAAGAGAAAGCATTTGCTATGTATAGTTGAAAAACGATGTTTATTAGAATATAGGTGTGATGGTGCATGCCTATGATCCTAGCTACCTGGAGGCTGAGGAGGGAGAATTGCTTGAGCCCAAGAGTTGGAGATGAACCTGGGCACACATAGTGAGACCTTGTCTCTATTAAAAAAAAAAAAACGTAAAAGACAAAATGAGCAAAAGATGAGGAAAAAGAAACGTGTTTCTCTGTAACATACAAAAAAATACTCAACTCACTAATATTATGTGTATGGATTAAATGTCTGTGTTCCCCAGATTTCATATATTGATGCCTTACCTTCACTACGATGGTTTTAGAAGTGGGGCGTTGGGGAATTAATTAGGTTTAATGAGGGTGGAGCCCCCATGATAGGGTTAGTGCCCTTATTAAAATAAAGAGTTGGGCATGGTGGCTAACGCCTGTAATCCCAGCACTTTGGGAGGCCGAGGTGGGCGGATCACCAGGTCTAGGAGTTCGAGACAAGCCCGGCCAATATGATGACACCCCATCTGTACTAAAAATACAAAAATTAGCCAGGTGTGGTGGGCTCACGCCTGCAGTCCCAGCTACTCAGGAGGCTAAGGCAGAGGAATAGCTTGAACCCAGAAGGCAGAGGTTGCAGTGAGCTGAGATGGTGCCACTGCACTCCAGCCCAGGTGACAGAGTGAGATTCCGTCTCGAAAAAATAAAATAAAATAAAATAAAATAAAATAAAATAAAATAAAATAAAATAAAGAGGAAACACCAGAGCTTTCTCTCCTTGCCATGTGAAGACATAGCAAGAAGGCAGCCATCTGTAAGCCAGAAAGAGAGCCCTCAATATGCTGTTATCCTGATCTTGGACTTTCCAGTCCCCAGAACTGTGAGAAATAAATATCTATTGTTTAAGCCATCCTTTCTATGGTATTTTGTTATAGAAACCTGAGCAGACTAAGATGACATGCAAATTAAAATTTATAGTTAAGCAGCATTTTACACAGAACAAATTGTAAAAATTAAAAATTGAACAATGTTAAGTGATGATGCCGTATAAAGTGAATTCTTATAACTGATAGGTAGTGTGTGAACTAATTAAATCATTTTATAAAACAATTTGGTATTATCTTGGAAGACAGAAAAATTTAGGCTGTAACTATATCTATCACCTAGTAATTTTCTTCTGAGATAAATGTCCTAGAATGTCGTTCTTAGTCATGGGAACTAGAATTCAAGTAAAAGGTACAAGTCGCAATTGTTTATAATGTTACAAAAACAAAAAACATAGAAATAACTCAAATTTCCATTGGATAGATTTGGTATTGCCTTGCCATTCTTTGGCGAAAATAAATAAACTATAATTATAAGCATCAACAATGGTGAATCTCAAAAAGAGAGTTGAGCCAAAAGCAAGTCACAAAAGTACACATGAGGTTAAACTCTAAAGAAAGAAAAACCATTTTAAATATAGAATTTGGGATTCTGGACACCTTTATTGGTGAAAGACAGGGATGCTGTAGTATGTATATATACAGTATCTTATTCAGGGCTTCAAATTTTAGATTTGTTCTATTTTTATTGGATTAATTTATGAATGCTCTTTTTAGTATTATTTGTATTATTTAGTATTAATCTTTAGCTTACTTTTATATGTTACATGTAGAAACTTTTTCACGATAAAAGTGAATATGCAAAAAGCAGAAGAAACACTATTATGGCAGTATATAAATTCCTTTATAAAAATATGCCTTACCAACTGCAGAGAATCTCTGGGCTCACTCATAAGCTAAAGGATATGCTGTTTTATTTTATTTTTCTTTTTAAGACTCTGTTCCTGTGTCTGAAATTCTTGTTTCAGTAAATTCATTGATTCAGACGTTGTGAAACTTGAGAATTACTTTCAGATAGTTAAAACTGCTAGAATTACTTCTAGAATTAAGAATGGCTTGTGTTTACTGAGTACTGTCTATGGACCTGGCATTTTTTAAAGAGCTTAATACACATTAACTTATCGAGTTAACACATTGTTATCTTTATAACAACTCAAAGAGGGTATTATTATTCATCCCTTTACTGCTGGTAAGGAAACTGAAACTCAAGAGAGTTAAAATAACTTGCCTAGCCGGGCGCGGTGGTTCACGCCTGTAATCCCAGCACTATGGGAGGCCGAGGCGGGCGGATCACGAGGTCAGGAGATGGAGACCATCCCGGCTAACACGGTGAAACCCCATCTCTACTAAAAATACAAAAAATTAGCCGGGCGAGGTGGCGGGCGCCTGTAGTCCCAGCTACTCGCGAGACTGAGGCAGGAGAATGGCGTGAACCCGGGAGGCGGAGCTTGCATTGAGCCGAGATCGCGCCACTGCACTCCAGCCTGGGCGATAGAGCGAGACTCTGTCTTAAAAAAAAAAAGAAAATTGCCTAATGTCTCACAGCTAAAGAGTAGAGAATTCTGTTTCTTGCTCAGGGAATATGAGTTCGAAGGATGTGCTTCAGCAATTACGTTATAATGATCTGCTATATATACATTTCTGAATTTGGTAATTTATTTATTCAACACATATGACGCACTGACTATGTGCTAATCATTGTTCATGAAGGTGGGGGCACAGTGACAACGACAATACAAATAAAAATAGAATAATGACTTTCTTTCCTGAAATCCAGCATCATGCTCAGATAAAAGGAAGGAGAGAATGAAGTGAGGAAGGGGAGAAAGAAGAGGAGGAGAAGAAAAAAAGGAATTGTAAAGTATTTTGTTGTTCTTTTTACCTTAAAAACCTTAATAACACAGACAAGACCATTTATTTTCTGGTTGCAAATTATTGTATAATCTGAGATTCTTTATTATATTACTGTCCATTTCCTGGATGCAGAGAAAATTCTCCATGCTCCCACATCTGCCAGGAATCCCTTTCTCATTCCTCTTTCTGCCCCAAGCGCACGCGCGCGCGCGCACACACACACACACACACACACACACACACACATTCTTTTCAAGGTTCAGCTCAAAAGATATGTATTTTTTGAAGACTTTTCTGCCTCCCTGGTAACCTCTACAAAAAGTGAAGGGATTACTCTGTGTCCTTATTACGTTTAGAGATATCCAGGGAAACTGACTCTGTGCAATACTCTAGAGACTCTTTCCCTGTATCATTTAATTGATGGTGAGTATAGAAATCCATGTTCAGCTTTAGATTCCTACAGAAAGCAAAATAGAAGCCCGTGGAACTAAGAAATATAAGCCTTCTTGAGAGATACAGATTGAGAAAACCAAGACTGTGTACATTTTATGGTGATAAAAAAATGATTAGACAAGCCTACTTAATAAAGGCAATATTGTGGATAATTATCATATGTTAAAATAGTAATAGTGGACACAGTACAATTGGTTTCTGTATACATTCATTATTAGAACAATTTCTGAATGTCCTTACTTCACTATTTAAGTGATTGAAAATCTGACTGGTTCTGTTGCCAAGAGGAATGAAATAGTAATAGCTAATACTTCATAAGTTGTTTCTATGTGCCAAATAGCTAACACTTTCTAAGTTCTTTCTGAGTGCCAGGCAATCTTCTAGATATATTGGGAAAATTGTTTGATGTAATTTTTGGCATAGGTAACATTTTATCCCTATTTTCTGTATAGATGAGTTGAGCCACCGGAGACTGAAGCAACTTGTTTAAGGTCATGCAACTGGTAAGTTGCAGAACTTGACTTCGAATCCAGATCTTTCCAAATCTGGCGTTTTTTCTTCTTAGACATTTTATATTTGAATGGAGAGTATATCTGCATTTTATATTTATTTTCTGACATTATATTTTAACAAACATTTACAAATTCTTGCTATGCACCAGGTCATATTCTAAGCCAGGAGTTCAGAAGTTGGCAAACTTTTCTGGAAAGTTTTCTAGAAATATCATAGGCTCTGTGGGTCACATAGATCTGTTGCATCTACTCAACTTTTTACATTTACATTATATGTAAATAAAGGAATGTAAATAAGTGGGTGTGGTTGCATTCCAACAAATCTTTATAGTATTTACAAAAAACGGGATTCATCATAACTGACCTGAGGGTTGTAGATGGGGGACCCCAATTTTAAGGGCTTTATAAATACTCCCAGGGCCCTTAAAAGCAAACAACTAAAGAGAGATGTTACTATGATATGATGATACTATGATGATATGATGATGATGGATGAATTTTATATATGAAAAAAATGAGGTGATTAGAATTAAAGTAACTTGCCCAAAGTTACACGCTTGGTAAGCAATAGAAGGAAGATATGACGTCAATAGGGCTGTGTTCTTCACCATTCACATTGTGCTGCCTCCATTCTGGCACAGAGATTTTGAATTTAATTTGTAGTCCCATATTTGGAATCCCTGAATTTGTGAGATAATAGAGTTACTCACTGCCTCTCCAGTCCCAGGTTTACCTCCTTGGTTTCCTACATGAAATGCTAAGCCAAAGAACATGTGCTGAGCGCTTCCAAATATATATTTCTGCCCCTGTCTTCCCTGTAGAACCCTGTGTGGGCTTTCCCTCATGTTTCTAGAAGGTTGCCGTGGTACCTTCTTGGGCTCTTCCTTCCACTCCTATTCTTTAGTTCCTACTTTCTGATTGTCTCTGACTGGAGTGGATCAAATTTAGCACATAGCCTGAGTGAAATTCTTATACAGTAGTACTTAAGAAAAGATGAAAGCACGCTTCTCCATGCTAGAGTTTCAACAAGGTGGATTCCAAATGGGGTAAATTGCTCTGTCTTGAAAGCGGAATCAGACAAGAGTCATCTCCATTTGTCCAATAAGTATCGCAGTATCTGGCATAAAATGCATGCTTAATAAATGTTTGGGGAATACATTAATGGTTGAATGTCATGTCTTATTTGATAGTCTTAAAGCATTTCTGAAGTCAGGAGAGTATTCACTGATTAGAACAGTGGCTGACATTATAGAAAAACCTGATGGTATCTTAGAAAAAAAAAAAACCTAAAACAAAATCATACTCATCTTTATTGCCTGTCTTCTGTGTTTGAGTTGGCACAAAGGTTTTTTACCCCCTGTGCCTATTACATTTGGTTGATAGAGGCTGACTAGAAGATATGTTTATAAGGATGCCTAGGTTAATCCTGGCCCAGTAAGATCAAGAGCCTTGATCAACCAGTGATGTCTGCCCTGTTTGCAAGATGGTAGAATTGAGGCACCCATGCAAAGTATCTGTTGATGTTTATGGAGAATTTATGTTGCTCTGTAAATAAAAGTTTTTTATTTTATTAATCAATGAGAGAAGTTCAGTTTAATGACAAACTCTATCTGGAACTGGGCCTTAGTAATATTCTTCCAGTACACATTTCTTCAATCCACCTGTGTCATGTTATCCGCCAGGGGTGAGGACTTTTCCTCCAATCCCAAAAGTCCTGTATGATGTCTCATCTTTAATATCTGAAATGTGCATTGTCAGTAGCCAAAATTTATTGGAGTGCCTACCTTACAGAAGAGACTTTTACTTCTGGCCCGTTGTTTCTGGCTCTGGCTTTGGGCTGAGATTCTTTATTTCTCTCTGCTTTTTTTTTTTTTCTTTCTAGAAGCAAATTGCTTTTCAAAAGTTTAAAGAGAAACAAGAGCAGCTTTGGATGGGTTAGAAATGGGAAAAAAAATGGCTCATTTTGTGAATAAATATTTGCCTGCGGTTCTCCACTTTGCAGACTCAAACAGGGATTAAAAGGCAAAGATTGGCAGGAGGGAGGTGAGGAGGCTTTTAGGCAAAAACAGCATGTGTGTTACAGCTCCATACACAGGGAATGCAATTTCCCCTTGTCAAAAGGAAAATCAACTGTAAGTAGCCGTTTGTAGGTGCTGCTAAAGAGGGGTGGTCTAGTGGAAAAAGCATAGGCTTTGTGCCAAAAATATCTGAATTTGGATCACTTACAACATACACGAGCTTGCCCAAGTGGATTAAGGTCTCAGAACGTCAATTTTCTCATATGTCAAGTGGGGACCAATGCATGGAAACTGCCACATTTAGAACCTGACATGCAATAGATGGCCAATAGTCAAACTTGAATCTCTTAAATTTACCATGAAGGAAAAAAAAGAATTTGATAGGATGTGACTCATTACAAGTCAATCAGAATTATTCAATTTCAGGAGACTAGTTTGAAGCAAACATCAAGCATTTTATTTGGATAAATGTGTTTGCTATACAAAAACAAAACCCTACCACTACTATTACCAATATCAGCAACAGCAATGGTGGCAACAGCAACACTGCCACCATCAATGGGTAACTTCCCTCAGCAAGCATAGTCAGGGAGAAAGGTCGTAGCTTTGAATAAATGGACTAAGGAAAATGTGATTTGTGCAGGAAGAGGTTCACATACACACACAAATGCATACCCATAATGAGAACATTGTGTTTCAGCACTGTGAGGCTACTATGCTCCCTAAAATGCTGGTATATCTTTTGAAGTTCTGTAAAGATTTTAATAGCAGAGCAGAAGAAAATGTTGGAGTAGGCAAAGATAGTATGGCTTCCTTGCCAAAAGAGAAAGATATTACAAATCTGTAGATTCTGGACTTAAACTGAGCATGAATGTAGATGAAAAAAAGCTATTTCATGTACTGGGCACATTTCACATAATTCTGTGCTTTCACAACAATGAAAGAAAGCAACACAAACCTAAAAATGGTAAAAATAACAAACTATCATTAAAGCGGATATGTACTGAATGCTTAGTAGTGCTAGGCATGTGATAAGCTCTTTAATAAGCCTAAAGAAGCTGTGTTTCGTGGTTGTGAAGAAATTTTTAAAAATGAAATTAATAAATACAATTTCTCCATGGTTGCACAGTTTGGACATCGTTTATCCAATATTAGAAGCTAAGAGTTCAGATGTCTTATGGGAATGCTATGGGCAGGCGTGATCTTAAATAATATTCTTCCCTTGACTTACATATAAGGAAACTTATCTTGATTCATTCACTTTACCTCCCCAAATCTCTCATGGGGATTCTAGAAGATCTTTCTCCCGAGGTGTATTGTTCAATTTTAGACTTGAAAAGTGCTTCACTATAGGTATCACATTTGAACTGATTTCAATTGCCCTTAACCTCAGACTCACACTTTTATAGATAAGAATTTATCATATTGACAGTTCAGCCATCATATTTTAGCCCACACAAATCATGGGGAGAAATCGTTTCTCTTTCAATTTTGTTGGGAAGAAGTCTTTGAGGTAAATGGTCTTGGAGAAATGTTGAATAATATCTCCTTATTATAGTACTGTTTCCCCTACAATTTTTAAGATTTGTAATACAAGACTTCCTGCCTCCTGTTTTCTTGCATTACTTACTCAGACACTTTTGAGCATTTATTATGCTCCAGACACTGCTTAGAGCTGAAGACTCAAAGTATTCTCTCTGCCTTAAGGAAGTTGGCATTCCAGCATTTCTCAGAAGGTTAACTGCCACATGGCTGGGAAAAGATAGTTGAATTCTATAGAAGTAAAGGGACTTTTCTTAATCCCACAGCAGTAAGAGTTTATTTATTTTTTGACAGATGGTGCCTATATTCCGTGATTGTATGCTCTTCATTACAATTCTGACTTCTTATATTATGCAGTTCAGGAGCCCATTGATTGCATGTGTTATTAGGTATTCTGGAAACTGATATTTATACTGGATGTCTGCATTCCGCACTGTTTTCTCAAATGGATTAATGTGCATTTTTTAGTTGTGTTTGTATTGTTTGCTGATGAATTCCCCAATGAAAGTAACAAGTTACCACTAGCATGGATAACAAGGGATTATGCTTAAGAACCATTTAACTGCTCATATTCTTCTAACTTTGATTTGCAATTAGTGTCTCCACCAAAGTCCATTATGCCTTGGTTTTACACTGATGTGTTCTTAGTATAATTATCACCAAATTATAAACTGTCCTTCTTAATACTGTTTCTTTCTGGAATTTTTGGTGGTAGCAAAATAAAATACTTCCAGTTGGCTTAAGCAGAAATAGTGGTAGAATATCAGAAAGCTCATAGAATCAATGAGAAGTCTGTTAAAAACTAGCATAGAGAGCATATTTACATCCTGAAATGGGGACAGCTTGGTAACAACTCTGCCTCTGGTCCCTCCAGTACTCATTCCTCCTGGTGGTCTAGAATTCCCACCTGAACTCATCAGTGGTGGTGGCTTGCCAAGATATCAGAAGGCTCAGAAACTGAACAGTCGAGAAAGAGAGAGGGAGGAAGATCTACTATAAAATCAACCTGGGCTATTCCTAAAATAAATTATGTGCAATTGAAATATAGCTATATGTACTGAAGGGCTATTTTGTATGTGTTACTACAGAAACATTTACAGAATGTTTTTCATTTCTGCTTTGCAAGCTAAGAGTCAGAGAGTTTAAGCAACCTCTCCAAATTTGCACAGCTAATAAAAGCCTGTGTTAAGTTTTGTATGCAGTACATTTTGCTAGAGCATTTTCTCTGAGGAACTTTCAGTCAAGTCTTAAGCATAGGATTACCAGTGCAGCCTTTAGTAGAAAAGGAGTGTTATTTTTTTCAGGCACTGCAGTAGATTGACTCTTCAGTCAATTATGTTTATGTTAGTTCTTGTCTGCATTTGTTAAAGGAAAACTATAGCTTTTAAAACTCACATTTCAAATTTCTCATTGTCTTTAAAGTCCAGGCATCTGCTGGAGCTCCTTTATCTTACTGTCATGCACTCAGTGGAGCTGGGTAGGCACATAAACCTTATGGAAATCATAGGACATTGGCTAGATGTTTTTGTCCTTCCACTTACAAGCCTTGTGACCTTGAGGAGTTCAGTTTTCTAGAGCCCTATCATTTTCCCCTTAAAAACAGAATATCCTTAAAAGGACAGTTTTGTAAGTGTAGGATCAGATCTATCTTTTCTACTATTGTTGAACACTGAACCAATAAACAATTATGTGTGAATTCAGTTATTTATAACCACTATTTACTACAATGAAAATGTTTTTAAAATTTGCAAATATCAAACAAATGATAGATTTTTTTATCAAACTATTGTATTCCTGCTATTTAATCATTTTTAAAATTTACATCCCACTTAGTTTCACCATTGGTGCTCCTTATAAGTTACATACTACATGGCAGTCCCTGTGCTTAGCCTATGGCATACACTAGACCTCCTAAATGAAATAATCTTTGCCATCATTTGACTGACAGAGACATGAAGAGCAGAGTTCTAAATCTGGGTAGTAGGTGGAGCTTGAATTAAACCCCACCATTCTATATCTGACAATATTGATTTCCTCCTTTGGATTTCCAATGTCAAAATCCTGAGCAGCCTTTCTCTTGGCAGGAGGATGCTCACATTTCTCTCTCTCTCTTTCGGTTTTTTTCTTTCTTCCTTTCTTTCTTTCAATGTCAGTGGCACTTTCTTCCTAACCCCATGGACCATTACTGAACCTTGATGATGTAAAGGAAGACAAGGAGATTTATGGCTTCTTGAGACTGTCTTCTGCTTTTGTGAGGATAAAATGAAATTCTTTGTACCACACTTCAATACACTTGACATCTTTTATTATTTTCAGGTCATACACATCTTTTTTCCTATAAAGAGAGTCATCCTACAAGCATTCATTCATTACTCTAAAGGTCATGTCAGAAAGAATCATAAACTTATTGTCAACACATTCAGTGTAAAAATACAAAACCTTGCTTTTCTCCCCAAACCTTCCATATGTTCTTATCAGGAAATCAATGTGCTGATGGGGCACTGAGGACTAGGGGACTTGGAGAAATTCTGTGCACTTTGCCATCTGCCCAAGTAGATGGAATTGGGATTGAGAGCTCTCACTCCAATCTCAGATCTGCTGGGTATTACGATCTTGGATGTCATAGCTCCTAGAATTACTGCCCATGAAAACGGTACCACTTAAGACGCTGAAACAAAATATGCAGAGAATACTTCGCTGTGATGCGGTTTCTATATTTTCTATGCTATCTAGTTTATTGTTTGTTTTGGAAGTTTCTAAAAAATCTAAGGATATCTACAATTTCCTTTCTTTTGAGTCTGTTTCTAGGCTTCCCAAAGGCTGTGATACCAACAATAACAGTGCCAAATAATGTTCCAAGTGTTTCAAAACATTCAGAACTGGATGTCTTGGATTTCATGGCACTCATTGCATCCCTGCTTACATTAGTGCCTCATTTATGTGAGCCAGCTGCACCCTGCATTGCTAGGCTTAGCAGAATAAACCAGATGCTGTTATATATTCAAACCCCTCTTCCCTGACACAGGTTGGTACCCATTCCCATTTGCATGGTAAGACCAGCATAGTTCAGGATGCCTGTGTTCACTTAATAAAATATTCCACAATCTAACAGATGTCTACTGAAACTCATCATATGCCTTTATCCTTTTCCAAAAGCTTTTTTTTCCATAGAACACTAAATATATTTTTTCACTTTATTAATGTATTTCTTTATATGTTTCTGCTGTTCATAGCCTTTTGGGTTATTACAGACAAATGTCAGACCCATTTCTAGATGCATTGGTCAAGTTATTACTCTTTCTAGCCTCAGATTATTTATTTCAGAATGGGACTAATCAGACCTACACTATAAAACTCTTGAGGTTGTTCATACATTCAAAAGGTTTATTGTAGGCACAGGGTTAGTGATCACTAGATGATGAGTCTGACAACGCAAACCTGATGGACAAGTCTAAGGGAAGCATGTGAACTAAGGTGCATTTCAATTATTTGAGATGGGAACATGAGGTTACATGTAGTTCTTGGAAAAGTGTTAAGTCAGTGTAGAATGACTGGATATCGATTTGCAAATTATAAATATTGAGGCAATTTAATCGGTAACTGGAGACTGACCCAGAAGTTGTGGGTCTTTTCTTTAGATCATCCTTCAGGATATGACATCTCTGGTTTATCTATTTTCATGACTTTGTTTTCCTTTTCGGTCCAGGTTTCTTTGCATCTTGTGGATGATTCCTTTGCATTACTGTGCATGTGGTTTTATTAAGCCATGGGCTCTGTGTTGTGAACAAGAGTTGGGAAGATGTCCAGATAACCACATGCACCTGATTCAGGACTCTGAAGAGCCGTACACAGTTGACCTTTTAACACTGCAGGAGTTAGGGGCATAGACCCTCACACAATGCAAAATTTACATGCAGCTTTTGACTTCCTGCAAACAAGTGCCTATTCTTGACTGGAAGTCTTACCAATAACATAAATAGTTGATTAACACGTATTTCATATGTCATAGGTATTACATACTGCATTCTTACAATAAGGCAAGCTACAGAAAAGAAAATGTTATTAAGAAAATCAGAAGGAAGAGAAAATCTATTTACTATTCATTAAGTGGAAGTGGATGATCATAAAGATTTTATCCTCATCATCCTCAGTTGAGAAGGCTGAGAATGAGGAGGAAGACAAGTTATTCTTGCTGTCTTGTGGGTGGCAGAGTCAGAAGAGGTAGAAGGGGAGGCAGAGAGTTACACTCGGTGGGTGAAACATTTATTGAAAAAAATCAGAGTATAAGTGGACCCCTGCAACTCCAATCCATGTTGTTCAAGGGTCAGCTGTAGTTATCTAAGCCTCAGAATTACTTTTGTATTTTCAGCTATTTAGACTTGAATTTTCTGTTACTTGGAGAAAGTAGCTTTTGAAGTCAGAATCAACTCTGTTTGTAAAAGCTTATAAAAACCTTAACTGAGCTTTGCATTTTTCTCTATGTAATGGTTATGCTTTTCTCTCTGAGTGGAGATCATTATGCAGACTGCTTCTTTTAAGAACCTGGGTAAAATAGTTGCTGGCACCTACAGGATCAACTGCTCTTTCAAACTCAAAAGACAATAGGAAAAATTAGGTCCATTATTACCTAGCATTCTTAGGTCATTCCATGGAAAGATTTTGATTAGCCTTGATTGGGTCATATTCCTGCTCATGGTCCAATTACATTTTCATGGAGAAGGTTATTCTGAAAACTCTGGGAACCAGGCCCAATTAAACACACACACACACACACACACACACACACACACACACACACCCACAATGTGTTCCCAGAAAAAAAAAGACAATTTTTCTTGCTAAGAGAAGAAGAGAGGTACATGCATTCTAGCTACACAGTAGATCTCAACACGACTCTATCCAACTTTTCACTGGCCCTGCCATTTCCCTTAGGAGTAATACAAGATGATTACACTACCCCATTCAAAACCCACCTAACTACAAAAATAGGAGTTTCTTGCACAACACTCCTCAGGGAGTTGAGAAGTGTATTAGTCTGTTCTCATGCTGCTAATAAAGACATATGCAAGACTGGATAATTTATAAAGGAGAGAGGTTTAATTAACTCACAGTTCCACATTTCTCGGGAGGCCTCACAATCATGGCAAAGGGCAAGGGAGGAGCAAAGTCACATCTTACATGGTGGCAGGCAAGAGAGCTTGTGCAGGGGAACTCTTATTTATAAAATCATTAGATCTCATGAGACTTATTCACTACCATGGGAACAGTATAGGGGAAACTGCCCCCATGATTCAATTGTCTCCACCTGGCCCCACCCTGACACGTGGGGATTATTACAATTCAAGGTAAGATTTGGGTCAGTACACAACCAAGCCATATCTACAAGTTTTGTTTATTTTTTTCTTACGTTGATACACTCCAATCTTCGAGTTTCTTTCTTGGCTTAGAGATTCAAATTTTTTTCAATTCTTACTGCTTTGTTTTGATGATATTGTAAAATATATACTTGATCTTCATCCTCATTTCCTGGCATACAGTTAAACTCCTTGAAATCTCCAAAGTGACGTCTTTTTGTATGCTAATGAGTTGACTGGTGGCTGGCAGCTCTTATGCAGCTCTAGCGTGGGAGCTGGTCACAGGAAAGACAGAGGCATTTCAACCCCACCCTCCAAACTCCAGGGAGGGAAGAGGGGCTGAAGGCTAAGTTGATCACCAACGGCCAGTGATTTCATCAATCATACCTATGTCATGAAGCTTCCATAAAAATTCAAAAGAACTGAATTTGGAGAGCTTCCAGAGAGCTGAACACATGGAGGTTCCTGCAGGGTGGCGTGCCCAGAGAGGGCAGGGAAGCTCTGTATGCAACCATTCCCACCTCCCTTGCTCTGTGCTTCTCTTCCATCTGATGTACATTGGTATCTTTTAAAAATATTCTATTAAACCAGAAAATGTAGTTTCCTGGAGTTCTGTGAGCTGCTCTATCAAATTTATCAACCCAAGGAGGGGCTCATGGGAATCTTTATATACAGCCTGTCAATCAGAAGCACAGATAAAACAGCCTGGGGATTGTGACTGACATCTGAAGTGGGGGCGTTCATGCACGTCCGTGTGAAGACACCACCAAACAGGCTTTGTGTGAGCAATAAAGCTGTTTATTTCACCTGGGTGCAGGTGGGCTGAGTCCAAAAAGAGAGTCAGCAAAGGGTGGTGGATTATTATCAGTTCTTATAAGTTTTGGGATAGGCGGTGAAGTTAAGAGCAATGTTTTGCGGGCAGGGTGGATCTCACAAAGTACATTCTCAAGGGTGGGGAGAATTACAAAGAACCTTCTTAAGGGTGGGGGAGATTACAAAGTACCTTCTTAAGGATGGGGGAGATTACAAAGTACCTTCTTAAGGGTGGGGGAGATTACAAAGTACATTGATCAGTTAGGGTGGGGAAGGAACAAATCACAATGGTGGAATGTCATCAGTTAAGGCTGTTTTTACTTCTTTTGTGGATCTTCAGTTACTTTAGGCCATCTGGATGTATACGTGCAAGTCATAGGGGATGCGATGGCTTGGCTTGGGCTCAGAGGCCTGACAGGGGCCAGTCTTGTGGGACTCAGCCCTCAACCTGTGGGGTCTGATGCTATCTCCAGGGAGACGGTGTCAGAACTAAGTTGAATTAGAAGGCACCCAGCTGGTGCCTGATGCAGAATCTGTAGAATTGATTGCTTGTTTGGGGTGGGGAAAATCCCCCATGCATTTGGTCACAGAAGCGTTCTGTGTCATGAGAGCAGAATAGGGAAAATAGTTATTTATTTTCTCACAGAGTTCCTCATTTTTCTTTTATTTTTTTCAGCTTTATTTATGTATAATTGACAAATAAAAATTATATATTTTTAAGGCGTACAATGTAACATTTTGATACACATATACATTGTCAAAAAATTACCATTATCAAGTTTCCCATTTTTCTATGCCTTTAATGACTTTTATTTAACTTCTACTTATGAACAGAAACTTTCTCTAAATTTTTCTGCTTCATTTTCTTCTCTTATTTTTCCCTTGAGTTTGGATATCACTTGGATCATGCTGACATACAAATATGTGTCTCTAAACTAAGTCTCTTTTTTTAAGTTTCTAAATCACATGGCTAATGTTTCTACCTAGACTTCTACATCAGCACATTAAGCTCAAGTTATCTTGGTGTAATGCAGAGTACATGGATTATGGCATCTTACTAACTTAGGTAAAAGTTCAGCATCCCAATTTTAATAATGGGGTGACCTTGTAGAAAGTAATGTATATTGTGGAGCATGTTTAATATAGAGCTAATAATAGATGCCTTTAAGACATATATTGAAGATCAGAGATACTATGTGTGAAGTCCTGAGCAGCTGGCCTAGCACATAGCAGCGAAGGAGGTTACCATTATTATAGTATTTCAAACTAAGAGAACAGATTTCTTTTTCAGCATTCACATAGCAACCCCAAGGGAAGAAGCATCTTCATTGGTGGCTTTGAGTCACACACCTATCTCTGGGTCTAAGCATTGTTGTTTAGAAGATGGGCTCATGCTTGATTGATGCTCTCATATCACAGTCCTGGGAACTACTTCCATACACTGGATTTATTTTCATGCCACTACACTTAAGGGGAATGCAATATTTAGTAAGGGGATCAGGAATGAGACTATACACATCTTATTCCACCGGTTGTCCAGTACACAGTGAATCTATCAGATGGTCAGTAAATCTTTGTTAAATTGATGAATGAAATGCATTGGCAAATAATATAATATCTAATATCTCTTTATATAGATAAATGATCATATTTGGATGATTGTCTGATACTGACCGAAATAGTCTGTTAGAGCTGGGAGAGGCATCGGAAGTTATTTAATACATTCCATAGATAAGCCCATGTAGGGCTTCTCTGCACTCTGGATATTCTGTCATGGATTTCAAAATAAAATGTAAGCACTATTCAAGAAACCAGCTACGTGCCAAGAAAGATTCAGAAAGGGAAGATTCAATCTACACTGAATCCGTTCAATGATGGGTCTGCCATTGGAGTTAGCTTTCTGAAGTGGTTTTCTGTGCTTGTTTCTGGTTATGTTCCCGAAGTTCTGAGAATTCTCACTGTCAGATGCCCATCCTCACTCCACAGCACTTACTCTGAGAACCGGGAGTTCTATTTGTTTTGAGTCATTCAGATCATTATTGCCCATATAAGGGGAAAGAGATAGGGCTTTTTAACACATACCAACACCATCGCTTTTATTTCTGTTTCTCCTTAAACATGAAGCTCTGACTGAGAAGGTTTTATTTCAGTTCCTTTTTGTGTAAATCCAAACCCTAGATCTGTGCATCTCAAGAATCTTGGACTCTGAGCATTCTGCTATGGTCTTTTGCCAAGAAAAAATAATCCATATGCAGTAAAGGGAAATTGGGAGATGTCCTCACCCTTTCTGGGAGCAGTGGAGAACTTGTTTTAGATGAGCTGCCTGCACCTTGTCAGGCTTCACGCCGCTTTCTCAAGCAGCACTAAAGGAAATGAACTAATGATAGCTGATGCTTGTGATCGGCAAACTCCCTCCTGCCGCTTAGAATTGGAATGTGAGTGAAAGCTGTGGGGGCCTGGGCCAACCCTGACAGAAACAGGTTTTTAACAGCATGAATTTATGAATCCAGTCAATGCAAATGAGAGTTTATTATGCTTGGAGTCTAAAAAACGATGCCTCATTTATTAAATTAAGCTGCAGAAAGTCTATTCAGATAATGTTAAATGGTAGTTTTTATACTAAAAGCTAGGCTTTTCTTTCATCGATTCTGCTTATTTGATAGTGTTATTTTATACTCTGCTTACAAGGGAAGGGAGGATAAAGACTTGGAGATGGAGAGGATTGTGATTGCAGCCAGGTAACACTGGATTTGACTCACCATTGTGCCCTTTACCTGTCCTAGGTCTCACAGCTTTTGAGAGAACCTTTATCACCTTTAGAATGGGCATAATTACCTAAGCTGTAAGATTGCAGTGAAAGAGTGGGAAAAACTTGACACATCACTCAATAGACGAGGGTGAATGAAAGGAGGAGGAAAAACCTTCAGATACTTAACCTGTTTCATTCTTTCTCACAGAGTAGTTTTTGAGTCATGTGCATAAATTTCTATTCATTTGTAATTTTTTGGAAGTGGATCACAGGAATTTGCATAAAACTACCCTCCAGGTAACCCTGATTCCAGTTAAAGAACCATTGTTCTTAAAATAATGATCTCTAGGCCCAGCCCGGTTGCTTATGTAATCCCAGCTCTTTGGGAGGCCAAAGCGGGTGGATCGCCCAAGGTCAGGAGTTCGAGACCAGCCTGGCCAACAGGGTGAAACCCTGTCTCCACTAAAAATACAAAAAATTAGCTGGGCGTGGTGGCGGGCGCCTGTAATCCCAGCTACTAGGGAGGCCGAGGCAGGAGAATTGCTTGAACCCAGGAGGCGGAGGTTGCTATGAGCCAAGATCATGCCATTGCACTCCAGCCTGGGTAACAAGAGCGAAACTCCGTCTCAAACGAAATAAATAAATAAATAAATAATCTCAATTTAAATTCAACTGTCGTATAAGTACAGATTGAGCATCCCTAATCTGAAAATCCCAAATCCAAAAGCCTTCAAAATCTGAAACTTTGAGAGAGGACATAATGCCATAAGTGGAAAATTCCACCCCTGACCTCAGTCACAGTCACAACTCTGTTTCATCAAAAATTATTTAAAATCTTGTATAAAATTGTCTTCTGGCTACATGTATATGATGTACATGAAACATAAATGAATTTCCTGTTTAGACTTTGTTTCCATCCCCAAGATAGCTCTGTATGTATATGCAAATATTCCAAATTATTTATAAAGAAATCCCAAATCCTCCTGGTGCTAAGCATTTCAGATAAGGGACACTCAACCTGCAATAAGAATATTTTAATCCCAGCATGAGATTTTTCACTTGGTTACTAATTATCGGCATTAACACATTGGGAGGAAATGTGGTGGTACTGGAAAGAGAGAAATAAAACCTACACACTATTTGCAATCATCCATACATGGGATATGTTGGCATGTCTACCTTTTACAAACTGTATGACTTAACTAGTATTTTATCTCTTCTAAGATGGCCATTCCTCTTCTCTTTATTTTTTAGGGACAGGATCTTACTCTATTCCCCTATCTGGAGTGCAGTGGCACAGCCATATCTTACTGCAGCCTCGGACTCCTGGGCTCAAGGGATCTTCCCGTCCCAGCCTCCTGAGTAGCTGAGACCACAAGTGTGTGCCACCACACTTGGCTATTTTTTTTTCTTCTAGAGAGGGGGTTTTGCTGTGTTGCTCAGGCTGGTCTTGAACTCCTGGCCTCAGGTGTCCTCCCGTGTTGGCCTCCCAAAGTGTTGGGATTACAGGTGTGAGCCACCATGCCTGGCCCATGTTCCTCTTCTTTAAAGTGAAATTATCCTCTCATATTTTTCATGGTTGCTTTAGCTAATAAATGAGTTAATGCATGTAAAGGTTCTAGTGCAGGGCTTTGCATGAAGTGGTTGTTTTAGAATTCTAGCCTTCTCTCTACTTAAGTGCTAAAATTAAAAATTGCTCATTGTTTATTTCTATATTTTAGAATGCATTGATTTAGTTGATTTAATTTTGATTTGATTTAATTTTGATTTGAAGCAATGTATTCTTAAGTGTTCTTATTGGACACATTCTGTGATATTAAGCTAATTATATAGTTGAATATTTAGGGAACTACTCTGTGTGTGTTTCTGAATAACCACATTCTTTTCATTCTTTTCTTCTTCTTTTTTTTTTATTTTGAGATGGAGTCTTGCTCCGTCCGCAGGCTGGAGGGCAGTGGCACGATCTCAGCTCACTGCAACCTCCGCCTCCCAGGTTCAAGCAATTCTCCTGCCTCAGCCTCCCAAGTAGCTGGGACTACAGGCGAACACCACCACACCTAGCTAATTTTTGTATTTTTAGTAAAGATGGGGTTTCACCATGTTGGCCAAGGTTGTCTAGATCTCTTGACATCGTGATCTGCCCACCTCTGCCTCCCAAAGTGCTGGGATTACAGACGTGAGCCACGGCGCCCGGCCCACATTCTATTTTTTATTGATAAATTATATCAACATACAAGTTGGGTTCCTCTCAAATTAGCACCATTTTATGTCTTCTTGAAAAAAGCATAATAAATATGTAGACTAAGACATTGTTTTATACTCTTCTCTTCAAAGTAACATTTTCAAAGAAGGGATTTGGCCTAATAAAGTTTTTTGCGATAAAATCAATGAATTAATTGCTATTTCTTCCTAAATCTTGCAAGCATTTTTTTATTTTCATCCTAGCAAGCCAATTTTGCTAACCCTTTAATAGTGTCACATTTTTGATCAAGGCATAAGGTGTTACCAGAACAATTAGTTGTCAGGATTCTGGTGTAAACAGAAGGATAATACAGGAATATGCATTCTCCATACATGTTATGCTAAAGAGCTGCTGCAAATGAAAGGAATTAACATATGTTATGGCTCATTTTCATGAAAGTGCCCACTTTCAAATGAGTAGACCTAGTTAGAAATGTGTAGTCATAATGTCCCCCAAAGTACACTAGCACCAGGCCTGTCCTTATCAGCATGTTTTACCAGGAAGGCAGGCAGTTGTAAAATGCTTTTGTGTATATGTTTCTTCTAGTCCTTGCTTTTGTTCTTTCATTTATTTAGAATCAAGTTTGGTAGCAGGAGACAGGAGTTACTTTATGAGACATCCACCTTATGTGAGCTTATTTTAAATTTTACTGATAGTTTTCTGAGAGCCATAGAAACCTTACAGAAAGTTGGGTTGTTAAATACTGGAGTTAGGGGACTTTGCTATTGTGAACCTTGGGTTTCATAAAGGGGTCCTTGGAATATTTAGTAAACATGTGTGAAATAACTGCCCCACGCCTGGCCCTGTGTTGGATACTGGCAGTTCAGCAGTGGACGTGATCCCAGCCCTTATGAAAAGGTGACTTGCTTTTGGTTCTTCCTTCTCTGCAAGAATGTAAGCAGGTTGATAAATTAAGCATCAGAATGGGAAATTGGCTGCGAATAAAACAAACCAGGTGCTGATAGAAAATAACAAATGAGTAGGGGAAGTCTATGTTAGATGAAATGGTCATAAATGGACCACTTTGTACGGTTAGTTAGACAGAAGTGATGCCTACTTGAGGGGATTTTCACATGCTGTTTCTTATATTTTGAACACAGATGCCCCCAACCTCAACCCCCAAAGCCAGAGGATGAACAGATGTGGGAGAAAAAGAAATTCAGATATAAAAACCAGCATGTAGCAAAGGCCTTGGGGTAGATGGAGGTAGGAAAGAACTAGATGTATAAGAGGAACTCAAAGGCTTCTGTGGTAGAGGCCAGATTATGTAGAGCTGAGTAGGATGCTGTCAGGAATTCGGATTTTATTGTTTTTGCACAGGAAAGCAATCAAAAGATTTTAAACACAAAAAGACATAATCAAATTCACATTTAAAAAAATCAATCTATTCTCTACAAAGCAGTAGGGTAGGATGGAAGGAGAAAGGTGGTCAGTAAGCAATCTAGAGGGCCAACACTTAAGTTAGGAGAGAGAATCGATTGTGCTCTGTAGAGAGGGACAGCACCAGATGATGGATCCATTGACGATTTCAGGGCAGACCGAGGCCCAGAGAAAGCAGTGCTATACTCAAGGCCACAGACCCACTCAAGAGTTGAGCTAGGACCTCAGCCAAGTACAGCAGGTCCCGGAATAACCTGGTTTCATTCAAGATTGTTTTGGTTGAGGAAAAAAAAAAAATCTCTCAGCTTGGGCCATTGTGTGGAGCCTGCACGTTCTCATCATGTATGCCTGGGTTTTCTCTCCTTCCGGTTACTTTTCCCATCCCAACGATATGATTGTTATGTGAATTGGAGTGTCTAAATGGTCCATTGCAAAGCTAGTGTGGATGTGTGTGAGAGTGTGTCCTGCAGTGGAATGACCCCCTGTCCTGGGCGGTTCCCACCTGGTGCCCTGAACTGCCAGGTTAGAATCCTGCCATCCTCAACCCTGAACTGGAATAATTGGGTAGGTTATTATCTTACTTGTTTCTATTAATCTTTTTAAAATGTATGTAGAACTCACAATTATTTCAGTGTTTAATACAAGAGATGTTTTGGTCTTTAGACATTTAGTGATGGTTTTGTGACTGGAAACATTCCATAGGAACCTTTTAAGTCTTGTTGATATCTATTGGCCTATGATATAATAAAATTGGTTTTATTGTAAGTTGTTTGGCTTAAAGTTTCAGTTTCCAAGAACCGTTTGAGGATATTAAGTGAAGACTTACTGTATTTTAGCCCCTAAGTCTGTGTTCATTGTAAACAGGTGAGGCTTGAAGGACTTTCTAGAGAGAAATGCCCGAGAGCCTAATTGTGTTGCCATTGGCTGCTTCTTTTTCTGTAGAGATAAGCAAGATAGAAAGGGTTTGAACAAACTTAAAAGTGTGTTTCTAAGCATTCACTTATGTCTGACATGTTAGAAGATTCTCAAGTAATGAAAATATTAACAAAAACTCAACTACCATCAATCAATTAACATTGAGGAATATTTGATTCCTCAAATATTCAGGAACAGTGGGAGCTTGAGAAAGACTTTAGAAAGTGGGTAGTTTGTTATTTCCCAAGGCATGACCTCTTCCTTTCTCTTTCAGTCCTTATCACAATGGAGAACAAAGTCTCACTTTATCGTTAATTTTTAGTGAGTATTAAAAAGGGAGATTAACACCTCCCTTGGCCTGAGGCCCCTTCTGTCTTTCTTAGAGCCTTTGGCTGGCAACAGCATCTAGACAGAATTTAATAACATTGCTTTGTTTTCATTGAATTTATTTTTATGATTATGTTTATTTATGGCATGTGATACAGGTTTGCTGTTACAATGGTGATATAAAGTTGTTTTTGAAATAAATTTGAGTAAAAAGTCAACTTAAAGACAAAAGTAAAAATGTTGTAGATGGAATGGGTATATAACAAACATGATGGAGTATTTTAGACACCTTGTGTCAATTACTGCACTGATGGTCATGGTGACATGGAAGGGACATGGAGGAAGGGTGTGCCTAGGGTCCAGTTTTTTGTCTCCCCCCTCCCCACCATGCCTTATCATTCCTTGCTTTGCTTTCTACTCTGGGGAAGACTCAATTTCCCAAAGTGATGTAGTGAATGGAAGATACAATATGGCCCTGATATTCAGAATCCAACCTCATAATTGGAATGAACTTAGGCAGAGAAGAATTAATTTACGTGTTTATCGACAGGAAAAATTTTAAGGTAAACTGTGCTTTATTTGTTCCATGGAATGGTGCATAGTCATTAAAAATACAACATTGATGTGAATACAATGTTACAACAGAATTCTAAAATAAATTCAATGAAAAAAAGATCAAAAGATGTTACATAACTTTGCTTTATTTCTCTCATTTCCATAAAGAAAAAAAACAGAAGTGTTATATGCATAGTAACATAAATGTGTACACTGAATGTCTAAAAACATTCACCTGAGGAAGTTATAAATTTTTGCTTCAGGCAGAGTTGGGAGGTTGGATGTGAAGAAAGGCTTATTTTATATTTTACACAATTTTATACTTTTGTTCCGTTTTGCCATGTTATGCCATACTTTTGTTACAAAAACAGAAGGAACAGCATACGTTCAGTTTTGAACAGAAAGGAGTAAAGCACCAATTTTAAGTCAAAGCTCATTAACTCCTGCTGTATTATAAGTGATGCTTCAGGCCAACAGCCCCAGACTAACTGGGCTTGCAAAAATGTGCTCAGAACTCTCTTCGAAGGGCAGGTTCATGCAGATCATGTGATGGTACAGAAAATGCTGAGTGTGATGGTCATACACTCAGGTAATACACTCAGGTACCGTCATATACTCCGGTAATACAAAGGTCACACCCTCAGGTAATTATATCTTCCTGCCCCACTTCCCCCACACCCTCCATCCTGACCCCATGCCTGCTGTACCTCATCTGAGGGTTCAATGCTATGCTCACTTGCATGGAGACATGCTTACTTAGTACAGCTGGCCCTTGACAATGTGAGTTTGAACTTTATGAGTCCACTGGTACATAGATTTTCTTCTGCCTCTGCCACTTCTGCGACAGCAAGACAAGCCCCTCCTCCTCCTCCTCCTCTTCAGCTACTCAAGGTGAAGACAATGAGGATAAAGTTATTTCTGATAATCCACTTCCACTTCATGCACAGTAAATATATTTTCTCTTCCTTATAGTTTTCTTAATAGCAATTTCTTTTCTCTAGCTTATTTTAATTCTAAGAATAGAGCATATAATGTCTATAATATACAAAATATGTGATAATCAACTATTTACATTATCAGTACACAGAAGGCTATTAGTTAAGTTTTTTGGGGGAGTCAAAGTTGTAAGTAAATTTTCCACTGTGTGGAGAATGGGGCTTCGGACCCCTAATCCTTGTATTGTTCAAGGGTCAACTGTACTTGTATTGCTCTCCTTTTTAATAAATTTAAAAATATATTTATAGAGTTTCTACTTTTTGCTAGGCATTGTTCTAGGTATAGAGGCACAGAGGTGCACAAGACTGATCTTACCTAACATTTTTCTTTTAATGTGAAACAAATGAACAACTCACCTTCTAATGGAAGAGAGCTACAGTTGTGGGTGTGCTATTTATTAGGCTGGGTTAGGAGATAAAGAGTAGTAAACAGAAGATTCTTCCGTGAAGAGGAAACAGGAGAGCAGAGACTGGAATGAAAGCCTATGAAGCTCTTTCCCTGAGACAAGAAGCAGCTGGGCAGATCTAAGGAAAAAGAAGAGAACAAGGAAGCATGACCACAGTGTGGGAGACAGAAAAGAGAGAGGACAAGGAAAGAGAGAAGCAGGTAGAACTCATCAGCCATGGACAGGGATTTGCCGGAGAAGTGTTTGACAGGGATTCGCTGCTGCTGGAGATGTTCAGTGGGCGAATGATGTGATCCAATTCATGTTCTTTTTTTTTTTGAGACTATGTCTCACTCTGTTGCCCAGGCTGGAGAGCAGTGGTGCGATATCAGCTCACTGCAACCTCTGCCTCCCGGGTTCAAGCGATTCTTCCGCCTCAACCTCCCAAGCAGCTGGGACTACATGTGCGTGCCTCCACACCTGGCTAATTTTGTATTTTTAGTAGAGACAGGGTTTCACCATATTGGCCAGGCTGGTCTCAAACTCCTGACCTCGAGTAATCCACCCGCCTTGGCTTCCTAAAGTGCTGGAATTACAGGCATGAGCCACCGTGCCCAGCCCCAATTCCTGTTCTTATAGAGATCCTTCTGTCTTCTTTAAGGGGCGGGGTGACCTGTAGGGAGACAGGAGGAGAAGCAGGGAGCCCATCTGAGATGCTACTCTGATTTTCATAGAACTTTCATAACTTTATTGAATGCAAATCCTCAGAGAATGCAGACAAGGGAAAGTGGGCAACATGAGGTGAACAATCTTGAAGCTAGCAGCGAGAGGTCTGGCAATATATTTTTTTAAAAGGATGAAGTATACTCTTCAGTTTGCCCACGAAGATCCAGCCAGTCAAGACTGATTGGTAGTGGAAGGCAAAGGAAGAAAGAAAGGGCGAGAGGGAGGAAGGAGGGCAACAGGTAAGCAAACTGAATGAAAAAGGGGGAACAGCTCTGAATTAGCAATAATTCATCCATTTGCTCAGTTATTTATACTGCAGTTCTTTCAACATCAAGAGTCTTTTTGGGCACCAGCTTATGGGCTCAATATTCCCCGCTTTATTACTAAGAAAAAATAGTTAAACACTTTTACCGAGTGATGGCAATGTGACAGACTTTGTGCTGAGGACAGAATATATGTATACTCTCTCTGTGTTTGTGTGTGTATTTTACATATGTATGTGTATACACACACACATATATGTATATATGTATGTGTATACACACACACATGTATATATGTATGTGTATACACACACACATGTATATATGTGTGTATACACACACACGTATATATGTGTGTATACACACACACGTATATATGTGTGTATACACACACACGTATATATGTATGTGTATACACACACACATGTATATATGTGTGTATACACACACACATGTATATATGTATGTGTATACACACACATATGTATATATGTATGTGTATACACACACACATATGTATATATGTATGTGTATACACACACACATATGTATATATGTATGTGTATACACACACACATATATGTATATATGTATGTGTATACACACACACATACATACATATATGTTGTGTGTGTGTGTGTATGTGTGTATATATATATATATATATATATATATATATACACACACACACACATACACCACATACAGAGAAAGATTTGTTAAGGTATAATGACCATATCCTCCCTCTGTGTGTGTGTATATATATTTACATATAAACACATATACACATATATATGCACACATATATACATATATGTATATATATATACACACACACATACAGAGAGAGAGAGATTTGTTAAGGTATAATGACCATATCCTCCCTGTCTCTGTGTGTGTGTATATATAGATATATAGATATCATACATATGTGTGTGTATATATATGTGTATATACACAGACACACATACAGAGAGAAAGATTTGTTGAGGTGTAATAAACATTTCCTCCCTCTGTCTCTTTCTGTGTATGTGTGTGTATATATGTATGCGTATATATATATATACACACACACACATCTCTCTATATACATACATATATATATACACACACACACACACAGAGAGAGAGAGAGAGAGAGGGAGGATAAGGCAGGGCTGGCTTTTGCGAGTAACCAGTAGAGTCCCACAGGTGTCTGTTACCCCAAGGGGCCCTATGCTTTGATGAATCCTCTGCTGTCATTGTCTCGAGATTCTTAATTTTTCAAAAGTGAAGTTCTATGGGACAAAGAAGCATTCACGTAAGCAAAAGAGAGATGTGGAAGAAAGGAAAACACCCTTTATATTTAGTATGTTAAATGATGTCTTTTTTTCTTTTTTTCACATTTGTGTTTTGTACTGGGCACCACAAGGTCTATAGTTAATTCTGCAGCCAGGCAGGTGAATAAGTATAGTAGAGCCTGGCCTTTCCTATGTGAGAGGTGCCCACAGATAGGAATAGAATGGAAGTATTTAAGTTAGATGAAGGTGAGAGATGGAGATGGGGGAGAAGGTGTGTTAAAGAAGAATTTCAAGAAAAAGTGAGAATCAAGTTGATTTTTGAAGGAAAATCAGAAGTTGGCCAAATGAGAGAAAGGATTTCAGGCAGAGAGGACAAGCAACATGTGTGAATGTGAAAAGTTATGATCGGGCTGTGTGTAGCTGGGAATTTTGTACGGTCTCTAAGGCAGTTGTCCAGGGAATGGCCTGGGGGTTATACTGATGGAGATGGAGCTAGAAAGAAATGGTCAGGGTCAGATCAGGGAGAGCCTCCTGTGTCATACTCTTGAGTAGAGAAGGAAATTGTCTCTGAAATACTACTCTTAGTAGATAATCTTAGTAGATAATCTCAGATGTGGAGAATGTTTTCAAGAGTGTGACAATTGTAATTATTGAGTATTATATGACACTCCTGATACAAATAGTTTCATATGCATTATTTTACTTCATAAAATAATTCTGAAGATTATGATCAATCTCTATCATGGATGAAGAAACTGAGGATCAAATCTGTGATTCTCCAGCCAGGAGGCTTTAGAGAAATTTGACTCCAGAGCCCACCCTTCTAACCTTTATATTTTTGCTTCCCTGTGGAATCATAGATAAAGAGCAATGGTATACAAAAGGCTTTGACAAATTGACAAGGGTTGACCTAAATTATAAGGATGATAGAATTTTATTATGTTGCTGTTATGGATGAATGTGACAATATTGCTTTCTTATATTGATGTAGTTCTGCTTTGTTTAGCTGCTTTCCCACATATCATCATACTCGTACAGGTACATTCAACTTTCAAATAGATCAAAGAACAATCATGACTTCAAGGCTGCATGCTTGCTTTTCTTTTGACTGGAGAGCACTTCCAAGCATTCTTTTATTTAGCTCAACCCCAGATGGTCCACCTAGGCTATCATCAGCCTCAGGAATTTTCCCTGTCTCATGCAGGTTGGCTTGGCTTTCCAAGCTCTGTGCTTCTTGATTGCTAATCATCCACAGGGTTTGATCAATTTATCCCCCTCTCCCACAAGATATAGCTTTTTGAGGGCAAAAACTCTTTTATTTCCACATACTCTATTCAGTCCCTAGAATGGCCTGTAATATAGCCAATGCACATTTATATTGCAGCGTATGTTAACTATCAATTACCCAAGTAGAATTACCCATCTAATAGAGTCCCCAGTATTAACAGAACATTGTATTGAGTGGCTGTTCTAAAGCAGACCCTGCACTAGGTTCTTGGAATATAAAGATGAAGGGAAAGATGTGATAGAGATGAACCAGAGGAGGGAGAGGAAATGGCTTTCTGTACGGTGGTCAGCAGAGGCGGGATTACATTCAAGCTGTAAATTGAAGAGTGAGAAACCAGACATGAAAAAAATCACGTTGAAAATATTTCATGCATGAATAATATAACAAGTCCTAAGGATCTGTGTTATGGGAAAATTTGGCATACTCAGAAAACCTGTGTGGCTGGAACAGAGTCAATGAATGCGTGTGCATGTGTGAGCATATGTATGTTTGTGTTCATATATCTATATATGTTCATATATCTATATATATTTTAGTTGGTCTTTTCATTTCCATCCTATATCCTGCCCTCTTCTCTTTTGTACCTGAGCCGAATGGCTATTTAAATAGTTTGGAACCTCTTGAAGTCACATTAACTAGTGTTCTTTTTCATACAAACTGTGACTCTGACAGAAAGAGAGCGTTTCCAATGTGTTCCTTTTAAACTACACTTAGCTGCTGCTTGTGGCTCTTAAATCGACATTCTTTCTGGCTTCCTTGAAGGGAACAATCAGATAGACTGTAGGTGGTCTTGCTTAGACATTTGAAGCTTTATTCTTAGACAAATACTGCCAGGATATCCTTTGATTCCTGAGAGCAGCTAGAACCTTTCAAGGTGTGCGTGCATATGTGTGTGTATGTGTGTGTATCTGCATGTCTTAGGGGAGGAGGAAGGACTATTAACTTTGATCTCTTGAGTCTCTGATTGTGTAATTAAGAATCAATTGGCCAAAACCTAATTTTGAATATATAACCATTTCTACTAACTTGCTTCTGCTGAAATGATTTGCCAAGCAATATTACATTAACACCTAATCTACTCTGAAAATCAGTTGGAAATACTAAATTACCCAGGTACATCTAATGTTCTTAATGAAGCGTCTGCATTTTATTGAACACAAGGACTGACCTAGGAATATGGACTATTTTGACCACAAGGAGGATGAAAGTGGGTTGGAGAGAATGCAGGTAATCATGCAATGTTAGTTTTAAGGACCCTACAAACTAGACCACCTACATGAAGAACTTCAAGTCCATCCCTGAGGGTGCCGGGTAAAGAAAATCAATACCAATAAAAATACTATTGAAGTTGGAATGAGTTGCACAGAATTGAGCATTTTACCTCATTTTTATTCTTTTATTTTATTTCTGTTTTATACTTGAGAAGTAAAATAAATTCCTGCCAAGGAAATACAAACTTGTTAAGCAGCATCATAAAAATACTGTTCAGGGACTTGGTATTTTTATGGTAAAAATAGATACTGCTTTGTGTTTATGCATATTAGGCTTAATTTGCCCTCATAAAACAGAATTTGCATTACCTTGGGTATGCTGTTTGGAAATTAGATAACATTAAAGAATATAATAGAACACAATGTAAATTTACTCCCTTTCTTTCCTCTTTTTCAAGATGGATTATTTGGAGTTAGTGGTTATTTGAGTAAATTGTAGACATTTTCTTTGAGTTTACCTTAAGATAAGGTAAGGCTTGTGCTTTTTCAAAGGTTGTCTTGCCTCTTTTAGAACAAAACAAACACATAAATATCACTTCTGTTATGCAATGAACATTTTTAAAAAAGGAGATCAGAAGAGATTTTTAACTTCAGCGTGTAGATATTCTTAAAAAGTGAATGTATATGAGTGTTTCTATAGTGTGTGTATACAAATTTTTGACAACTAGTTTACAGGGTTGATACTCTTTGTCTTATTACTAAGTTATACATGGAAATTTAGAAAAAGTTAAACATATTTTAATATTTTCTTCCTTTTATTTGAACACTAATGTAGTTAAGTGATTGGATACAATTATTTGTAAGCTTAATAATTTTAATGTAAATAAAGGTATTTGAATTATTGTAATAAAGAACTCAGTTCTACCTGTTTGTTTAATTGTGGGATAGCTTTTATTTACATGCTATTGTACTCTCAGATGGCAACGGTGATAATGGAACTGTGTATTTGGGGGCACTTACTGATTAAGAATATCCCAGCAGTTAAACATTTGCCATGGAGAGAACCCAATAGTTTTGAATTTTCCAGAAGCCCTAGAAGATGCATCTTTACAAGATACTAGGCACTGTAATTGAGCTGGTTTGTATTTTTACAGACTATCAGAAACATCCTTCCTGCTAGGATTTCCCTGTTTAAAGTTATCCAGAGTTTTGTGTGACCACTTTTAAATGACCTTATGATAAACTCTTTCTTGTAAATGGTAATTAAAAAAAAGAAAGAAAAAATTAAGAAAGTAGATGAAGTTTATGTCTATGAGGTTTTAAGAGAAAAATTTCAGTCAAACTAAATTTAACAGAATTTAATTGACCAAAGCACGATTCAGAAATCAGGCAGCTCTCTGAACCAGAGGCTCAAAGAGACTCCTCTGCAGCCATGTAGTACAAGGTTTATGAACAGAAAAGGACGGTGGCATACAGAAAACAGAATTGATGTACACAAACAGCGGGATTGGCTACAGCTTGATGTTTGCTTTATTTGAACATGGTTTGAACAGCTGGCCCCTTTGGCCAAAACTCAATGATTGGCACAAGAGTAGGTTATGGTCTGTTTATACCTCCATTAGGTTATGGTTCATTATATATAGAGAAATCTTTAGGTTGACTTAAGTATGTAAGTAGGCAGCTTTAGGCTAACCTTGATTTAACAGAGGTACTAGGACATCTGAAGAGAAAACAGTAACCCATTTTGTTATATGAATATCAATAGTCTACAGTGGAGGATAGCATGTCGTTTATTAGGTGCAAATCCTTTTCTTACACATTTAGTAGGTCTATGGACTTGGTAATGCCATTTCCCTGACTCTGTTTCATTTCTACATCTGTGAAGTGGATCCAATACCCACTTTAGAAGGTTACTGCTGAAATACAATGAAATAATGGTGGTTCATTATGTCTTAGTTTTTCATATTATTGCTACAAAGCAGAGTTTATATTTACAGATGTGTTCATTATTGCTTAGATATTTCACTTCTCCCACAGTTAAAGATTGGGACTTAGGCTACTCTAATTTGAATTCAACAATTGAATAATTATATGAGCTTGGGCTGGTTTTTAAAAGTATTTTTGTTTTGCAAATTCATTTCCTGTATTTATCTTTCTTTCTTTCTTTCTTTTTTTTTTTTTTTTTGAGATGGAGTCTCGCTCTGTTGCCCAGGCTGGAGTACAGTGGCCCAATCTCGGCTCACTGCAAGCTCTGCCTCCGGGTTCACGCCATTCCCCTGCCTCAGCCTCCTGAGTAGCCGGGACTACAGGCACCCACCACCATGCCCAGCTAATTTTTTTGTATTTTTAGTAGAGACAGGGTTTCACCGTGTTAGTAAGGATGGCCTCAATCTCCTGACCTTGTGATCCACCCGCCTCGGCCTCCCAAAGTGCATTTCGAGTATTTATCATGAGTCAAATTTAATTGTAGGTTCTACGGATACAAAGATATTTAAAACCCAGTCCCAGTTTTTAATAGAGACCACACTATTAACATTATCATTGGCTCTGGGACTGGAATAATTGTTTTGATGTGAAACCCTCAATAGGTGAGAGGGTGAGAACCAAGTAACTGGGAAAGATGGACATCATATATAATGGGTTTTTCCTCCTCCTTTCTCCATGGTGGATAGATGAGAGCTGAACAACCAACTTCAAAATGTGTTTTAGCAAGATATGGGAAGCCCTGACATGAAAAGAGTTCAGCCTAGTGCATTACTCCCCTTGTTAACCTCTAAATCTGGCAATTATACATTGCAAACATGGTGTATTAAATGAGACGATTTTATGGAGTTGGTCAATACAACATTAAACAAAATGTAATCTCTTGGAAGCAGTTATTCAATGTTTAGTTCTGAGTCCTTTGATATTTGAAGGAGAAAGTCTCTATATAGTAGATAGCATGTTATTAAGGTATTTTATATATATATATATATATATATATATATATAAAGTTTTTTTTTTCTTTTTGAGACAGAGTCTCACTCTGTTGCCCAGGCTGGAGTACAGTGGCACAATCCCACAATCCCAGTTCACTGCAGCCTCGACCACTTGGGCTCAAGCGATTCTCCCGCCTCAGCCCCCCAAGTAGCTGCAACTACAGATATGTGCCACCATGCCTGGCTAGTTTTTGTATTTTTTTGTAGAGACAGGGTGTTGCCAAGTTGCCCAGGCTGGTCTCGAATTCCTGGGCTCAAGCAATCGTCCCACCTCTGCCTTCCAAAGTGCTGGGATTGCAGGCATGAGCCACCAGGACTGGCTCCAGTGTCTTTTTTTTTTTTGTAAGAAAAATTGGTCTCATACTCAGAAATTTTGGGAGACAAGAACTAGCATTATATATAGTTTTCTTTTTCACTGTATTTGTAATGTTCTCTTCATAATATGACATCAGTTTTCCCATTAATAACAATATGACAAGTTATTTTAAAATGTATTTCATGGTGAGCAAGAAATAAATTAATAGTGTTCCTGTACAGAAAAAATATCAAGTAGATGAAGAAGAATAGCAGAAGTATGAGAAATATGGAAAGCTCTGCTCCATGAAAATTATACATTCTTAATATGTCTTGTATTAATTTATATAGTTCTCTTTATTCCTCTACCCTTGAGCTCTGTCTTAGTCCATTCAGTTCAGGCTGCCTGGGAAGTCCAAGATCTGGGCACCAACACATTTGGTGTCTGGTTATGGGTTACTTTCTGGTTCATAGATGGCACCTTCTGACAAGTTCTCTCTGTGTCCCCACATGGTGGAAGGATTGAGAGTGGATCCTTTTATATTAGTGCACTAATCCCATTCAGGAGAGTGAGTCAGCCCACGTTACCTAATCACCTCCCAAAGGCCCTACCTCCTACCATCCTCACATGGGGATTTAAATTTCAACATAGGAATATTAGGGAGACATAAAAACACAGACAATAGCAGGATGCAAATGAAGATCCTCCTTGAATTGTTACCTAGGTATTCTAAGTCATCTCTTTGTATCCATTTGCTCTGATTCCCAATATGTGCTCTACACTTAATCATAGAGGGGATATAATTTGATTTGCATTTTGTGAAAATTATTCGAGACAGCACAACACATAAATTATTTTTTATTGCCCATAGGAGATAACATTCCGAGGATCCCTAATAAACATTGCATAATTTTGCCCCTGCTTGCTTATTCAACCTTCTGCAGATCATGCAACCTCTTCAACAGTATTTGCATTCCTCCAGCTCTAGCCTCTTTTAATTTTTGACTTTTGCATAGATTGTTTCCTCCATGGTTTTCATGATGTATTTCCTCTATTTTGAATTCACCTCCTCTGCCATTTCAGCAACCAGCCTGCTAACTCCCAGCCTTCTGAAAATCTTTTACATGTTTACTTCATTTGAGAAGCTCTCCCTGGCACTTCTCCATGAAGCCAAACCTCTTTATTCATTCTTACATGATGCCCAATACCTATCTTTTATAACACTTAGCAACACAAATGCCATAAGTAAAACCATAAGTCTGTCTCCCAAATCCAACTGTACATTATTATATTCTCAGCACCTAGCACAGTAAGGGAGCTCAAAATATATTTATTTTTGAATTAATTAATGAATGGAGTTCTTCTGTGGTATTCTTTAGCTGTGGTAGTGGTATTTTATTCCTATTTCACAAACCCATGGAAGAAATGATAGTTTATTTTGCTCATTATTTTGACTCCTATTAATAATGAGAATTATAATTTTCACAAATCTCAAAAAAGACGTTTTAACAGACAATTAGTCAACATCAGCTCTAAAGAGTTCAACTTTGGGAGCCACACAGATAAAGTAGAAGACATGGCCACTGTCTTCGATAATATTCAGTAACTTCTTGGGAGTTTGTTCCATTTCTCTCCACATCAAAGTTTTCTATTAGCTTATACAATGAATGAATTCCAGCAAAGTTGACAAATTCTTGTGAAGCAAATCCCGTTTCCCATTGATTTCATTATTAAATTTTAAATGTATTTCCTCTTGGTGAGGGATACCTGCAGTATTTTATTGTTTAATGTAGTGGCTCATGGGGAAATCATAACCCTTTCAATAAGTAAAGAGAAAAGGAGGAGAGAGAGGCATGAAGGAATTAACATCCTATAAAAGTGCTGTAGGTGAGGAAAGGATAATGGTAGTTTAGAAGCTGCTTCAGGCTTTTGACTTCAGTATAGTAAAATGTGAAATCCATTGCAATATGTAAAAAAAGGAATCCCAGTATTTTCACGCTAGTTGAATAACCTAGGACAGTTTTTTAAAAAAATTATTTGAGTTCTGTTTTGTCATATACAAAAAGAAGATCATATGGCATCTTTTTTTTTTTTTTTTTTGAGACGGAGTCTCACTCTGTTGCCCAGGCTGGAGTGCAGTGGCATGATCTCGGCTCACTGCAAGCTCTGCCTCCCAGGTTCATGCCATTCTCCTGCCTCAGCCTCCCAAGTAGCTGGGACTATAGGCGCCCGCCAGCACGCCCAGCTAATTTTTTTTGTATTTTTAGTAAAGACTGGGTTTTGCCTTGTTAGCCAGGATGGTCTCGATCTCCTGACCTCGTGATCCGCCTGCCTCAGCCTCCCAAAGTGCTGGGATTACAGGCATGAGCCACCATGCCCGGCCCATATGGCATCTTTTATACATGTATTGGGAAGATAAAATGAAATATATGTGTATTGTTCAGCATCATGTCTGGTAAAAAGAAAGTGCCCATTCAAATATACCTGCCATGATGATGATGATGATGATGATGATGATGATTACTAGTTATCCAAAGACTGGAATGTGGAGGTTTTTTTTAACTTTTATTTTAGGTTCGGGGGTAAGTGTACAGGTTTGTTACATAAGTAAACTTGTGTCATGGGGGGTTGTTGTATGGATTATTTCATCACTCAGGTATTAAGCCTGGTACCCAAGAGTTATCTTTTCTGTTCCTCTTCTTTCTCCTACCCTTCCCCCTCAAATAGACCCCAGTGCCTTTTGTTCCCTTCTTTATGTTCATGAATTCTCATCATTTAGCTTCCACTTATAAGTGAGAACATGCAATGTTTGAGTTTCTGTTCCTGCATTAGTTTGCAAAGGGTAATGGCCCCCGTCCCATCCATGTTCCCACAAAAGACATGATTTTGTTCTTTTTTTATGGCTGTATAGTGAATATGCGGTTTTAATGACATAAAAATATAAATAACAAGGAATTATATTTAAACTGGTTTTGGGGGGAAAATAAGAAATGAAGTAGATATTTTGTTATTCAATTATTTTCAAAGGAAAGTTAAGACAATGCAGTCTCATATCTTGACACCGTAGTTCTTTATATTGTAACTTTTGTCACAAAGCCATTAAGCAGAAGTCATAAGTGGGATAGACACCCAGTCGCATCCCTTCTGCTACTCTGCACTCAAATCATTTAATTTTTTTAAACATTGATTCACTCAACAATAAGTATTGAACTCTTATGCACATCCGGTAAATAGAGTAAAATCTAGTACCTACCAGCAATATTTCCCTGAAGTTGTCTTTCTTATGAAGAGCTGCTTCTCAGCTAAAAATATCCTACTCTCTGTCTTATCTCTTGCACCTTCTCTCAACAGAGAAGTCAGAGAGGAAGAAAAAAAAATTCATTTGAGATCAAAAAGGCTTGCCTTCTGTATTACAACCTGTATCACTTACCAGGGAGTATATTGTGTTCATCCTTTATAGACAGAAAGTGCTTTATCGATAATTTTGCTGTACAACCTCATTTGTAGGTCCCTGACTGTCTTGATTTCAGGATTATTCAGGCTATATATGCTGCAAGAAGCCAGGGAATAGCAACTGCCAGTGTGATGCAGTGGTTCATGAAGCTTAGGATTTTTTTTTTTTTTTAAGACAGGGTCTTGCTCTGCCACCCAGGCTGAATTGCAGTGGCAGGATCATGGCTCATTGCAGCCTCAACCACCCATGTTTAAGCAATCTTCCTACCTCAGCCCCCTGAGAGTTGGGACTACAGGCATGCACCACAATGCCTGGCTAATTTTTGTATTATTATTATTTAGTAGAGATGGGGTTTTGCCATGTTGCCCAGGTTGGTCTCGAACTCCTGGGATCAAGTGATCTGCCGCCTTGGCTTCCCAAAGTGCTGGGATTGCAGATGTGAGTCCCCATGTCCAGCCAAAATGTCTTAACTGTAACATTTTCCCAAGCATATCCTATAAGGTATTAATAGATGTCATGTTGTGTCCAGAGTTGGTTCCTTCCAGTGGGTTCTCGGTCTTGTTGACTTCAAGAATGAAGCTGCAGACCTTGGCGGAGTGTTACAGCTTTTAAAGGTGGTGTGGACCCAAAGAGTGAGCAGCAGCAAGATTTATTGTGAAGAGTGAAAGAACAAAGCTTCCACAGTGTGGAAGGGGACCCAAGCAGGTTGCTGCTGCTGGCTGGGGTGGCCAGCTTTTATTCTCTTATTTGTCCCCACCCACTTCCTGCTGATTGGTCCACTTTACAGAGTGCTGATTGGTCCATTTTACAGAGTGCTGATTGGTGCATTTACAATCCTTTAGCTAGCACAGAGTGCTGATTGGTGCATTTACAATCCTCTAGCTAGACAGAAAAGTTCTCCAAGTCCCCACTCCACCCAGGAAGTCCAGCTGCCTTCTACGCTCCCAACTCCAAAGAGTCAGGGGTTGTTAGAGAGTCCTTTCCCAGAAAGCCTGATACCCATGTCTTTAGTCTGGCGGCTGCGACAATGTGAAACAGAGATTCTCAATATCAACTACAAGACTCATGAGTTATTTAAATTGTAATATGTTTCTTCATTGCAAGAGTAATCAGAACTTTTTAAATTCTGACCTCTACTGTGTATCTCCAATTTAGAGATGTGAGATAAGATACACACGGTAGGTACTGTTTACAAAAATGCATTTAAACACTTTTGATATGTAAGATTACTTTTGAACATGTTCATTCTCTTCTCCACTTTCACCTCCATGGGATTAGTATACTTGTGTGACCCACTGATGTCGGGATGGGTTATGCGATTCGAAAGAAGAGTTTTACAGATTACTTTCTATTTTTGTCAAAAATATTAAGAATAAAAATTTTAAAAAGGAAGATTTCTTAAAAAGACACTGTTCCAACAATTAGAATATACTCTCGTCTTTAGCATTTTCTTGAGCGGGCTTAAAGCTACGGATTTAACATCTATTGTTGGGCTATTGTTTCTTTCAACAATGACTCCCTGGGTTTGTATTTGTAAAGAAGGTGTTGGGACTCTTCAACTGTCTGCTCTTCTCTGTTTTTCCTTGTTAAGTTCTTATCTCTTAAGCAAATATAGGCTTCACAGTTAACCTTTGAGTAGGGAAGCTCCCAGAGATGCACATTGCCTATGAATTTAGATAACCTTTGGGGGACAGCATATTTTCCACTTGGAGCCCTCATTGTATTCTGGTTACATATTGAAAGATATTTGGTGAATAATGAATGAGTAGTGTGTCTACTATTGGGGAGGCACTGTTCTAGATGATGTTAGATTTTGGCTGTGTTCTCAACTTCTTCCAACTTCATGATATATTTTTTAAAATATACCCGACAATGATTAGATCAGAACGAGCAGAGAAGCAGGAGATCAGAAATCCTCAGAAGCTAATTCTTATAGGCAGTTTTAAGTTAATGCTTTCATACATATTTTAATATCTGTCTCTTCCATTATGTTATTTTTTACAGAATCAGCTCCCTCCAAACACCTTCTTAGTTTTTCCCCAAATTTAGGGTCATACGTTTGTATGATTGATTGATTTTTGTGTGGTTTTCTCATTATTGTGCCAGTATCAAATGTGAGGCTCTTGGGTATTGGATAACTAGTCCAGGACAGAAATAGGGTCAGGGAAGATTTAATGGAGACTGTGAATGGCACGTTACTGGAAGACCTGTGCTCTTGACCACAGAGTTTGCCTGACTATCTCACTGTATGGATAAAAATTCCATCAGCTGAGCATGCCCTTGGGTTATTTTCATTTTCTCGAGCCATCCCTTATTTGAGAACAGAGCCCTAATAGCTCTGTAAGTTGACCAATAACAATTCAGTGTTGACATTTAAATATATATTAAAACCATTTAACATTTATTTTAATCTTAGACATAACTTGTAATACTCTAGAATAATGAATGAAGCTTTTTAAAGAATGAGTTAAAACAAACATGTAGAACAAGAAAAAAATCACATTCATATATTAAGTCTGAAAAGGAATGTGTTATTTCATTTAGAGGAAAAAATGTTTTTTACTTTCCCTCAGATTTACACTGTCTGAAACAAATTCTGCTCTATTTTACTTTCCACAGACTCACATATATAGGGGGAGAAAATTCAACCTAGAATGAGAACTCCTTGAAGGCAGGGACCATGTATTATTCATCATTCCTGTGTGTAACTTCTCTGGCAAATGATAGGAATGCAATACAGGTTTGATGAATCCATGTGACTGAAAAGAAGTTTAATCTATCCCTGAATGGTATAGGTACAAAAATATGTGCTTGGGGAATGTTCAACATTTTCTTTGACACATTTAATATAATTTTTAATTCAAACTGTTTTCATATAAAAATATTTTATTGCCTTGCAGAAAAATCATATTTGCCTCATGTCTTTGTAGTCATTGCAATAATAGTCATACTCAATCTTAAGTCAAATATACTTCAATTTAGAAATAATATTCATGTATAGAATTAAATAATGGGGTGAAGTTGTTTTGGTACTGTTTGTGACACTGTTTTTTGATCAGTCTTGAAATTCTTGGGCTTAGGAAGCAGAGATGTTTCAAACTCCTTATACTGACATCTACCTGGTAAATAGGAGAGTTGAACATTTACACAGGAAACAGATAACAGTTTTGCCAATCTTAGTTACCACACAGTTTGATTCTGTGTTCTACATGGAACATCAATCATTTCTCTTCTGCTCTATAAATTCTGCACCTAAGATTGTTCTGCATCACCCAAGAGAAGAAGAGAAGTATTGCTATTCAGTTTAGGAATTATTTATTAGGAGTCCAAATTGTGCAGAATAGAATCAACAGATAGCTTGATAGGCAGTGTCTACTTGGGCAAGTTGCTTTGTGGCATTGACCTTCAGAGTAACCCTGTTTCACCTAAATTGCATCTGTTTTCAGGATCAAGAGGGTTAATGTATGTGAGGGGAAAAGATGGAAGAAAACTTGTGTATTGAACATTTACTATGTACCAAAGCTGTGACCTATCAAACGCCAGTTTCCTAACCTATTAAATAAGCATGATTCTATTGCCTACCTCAAAGGAGAAAGTAAAAGCTTGAGCAAGCATCAACTGTTGAAGCTGGAACTCAAGTCCTATTGTGCCTGGCTCTGAAATTTATCTCCTTTAATTTTCCCTAAATTGCTTCTCCAAGAATACTTTACATCTAGGTGTAAAAACTAATGCTTTCTTTAGAATTCTGTTAGGCACCATGAAAGACACACAATCTTCAATTCTTGTGAGTTCCACTGTTTCTTGAAGACATAGTTTTTGCTTTACAGAAATAGAAAAGAGTTCCCAGTCTTGCTCAAACTTCCTGTGGGGTCTTTGACTATACAATTTTCTGAAGGATCTTAGGCCAGAAAAAGCAAAAGAACCACTAGAGGACACCTGGTGGTCTTCTCCAAAACAGCAGGGTAGATCTTTGGCCATGAGTGTGTTTCAGAGGTCCTCTGTGTGTGTGTGCATGCACATGTGTGTATGTTTTCCTGTGTGCAAGTGGGATATTAGGAGTGGGCAGGAGGCAGTAGAAACTTCAGAACAGGAAGGTGAACTCAAATTTTTGAGAATCCTTTGACAGATAGCAGTTTTGAAGATGCCAAAATCCATTCTGCCTGTGACTCATTAAAATAAAGAGAAATCACAAAGCATCCTTTGATTCAGCCACGTTTCTTTTCACATTTTACAGCCATTCATTCTACAGCCTTCCAAAGGATTTAGAAGAAAAATCGGAGGAAATAGTGAAAGAAACAAAACAAAACAAAAAAATCACGGTGCCTGAGAAAGCTGTTAGAAAGCCTAGTTCCCTGTAAACAGCTTGCCCCACTACCTTTTAGCAACATATTTCTCTTGATTCACACCAGCTGGTCGTTTCTAATTTCTCCTCAGTGTCTTGAAATAGCTATTTTCCTTGAAGCTAATCCCTCAGCCTTTGCTGATGACTCCCTGGGTTTGGATTTCCTAAAGAAGGTGTTAGCACTCCTCAACCGTCTGCTCTTCTCTGTTCTTCCTTGTCAAGTTCTTAACTCTTAAGCAAACTTAGACTTTGCAGCTAACCTTTGAGTAGGGATGCTCCCAGAGATCCACATTGCCTATGAGTTCAGGTAACCTTTGAGGGTAAGAAAGATGACATATCGGAGTGGATAAACTTGAATCTTTTTTTTTTTTTTTTTTTTAATCATGCATCTAGGCACAAAACGAAATTGGCCTTTTGGCAGGACTGATTGAGGCTTGAGTATCCTGCCAGCTACCATGTGTCTCTCTGAGCAGTAATAACCGTTTTTTAAGAAGCAGCTGACTTTGTGATCATTCCGATGCAAATTCTATTAACAAAGATAGAGTGCATTTCTCATTTACCATTGCATTTAATCTTCACAATGACCCTGTTGTATGGATAATCTCACGTCTTCTTTAGAAACAATTTTTAAAAGTCTCCAAAAGTTTAAGAATTTGCTAACATCACAGAGTTCTTAAGAATGAAACCTCAATTCAAACTCAGGAGTGTCAGACTCAAAAGCCAAATGTTCTCCTCACTAAAGTGCTGATGGTAAGGCCCTGACTATAATGGGCAACAATACTGGATCTTCCATTGCAGTAAATGTGATGAACTTGAGTTTTCTTTGAACCTGCTGTCTTAGATTTGGGCCATTTTTTTTTCTTTCCTTTATCATTGATAGGAATTTAATTTTATATCTATACCTATATCTATGCACTTTTTACTTTAATTTCTGTTTTTGCATTATTGACAGACATCCTTGAACTTGAGAAGCCTTGTTTAAAAAAATGAGAAAACCAGAACCATGCCTGTTGCATTGGTCTTATTTATTTATTTATTTTGGAGATAGGGTCTAACTATGCAGCACAGACTGGTGTGAAAATCCTGGCCTCAAGTAATTCTTCTGCCTCCAGCTCTTAAAGTGCTGGCATTACAGGCATGAGCCACCACACCCCGCCTGCTCCTATTTATTGTGCATTTGTTGATATTAATATCTCTCAAAATGTAAGTGATTTACACTGATTTAATATGTTTAATTCTCATAAAAACCTAATAAGTTAGCTGCCAAAATTATTCCTGATTTTAAAAGAAGAGGTGAAAGCTTAAATAATTTGAAACAGGTGATTCAGCTAATAATCAATACAGGCAATATTGAAACAACTAAACTGTGTATCTAACAGGCAATGCCACCTCCCCCAGCAGTATTTAGAAGGGAACAACTGAGAACCCTTAGAGGTATATTTTTTCTGTTAAACGTATCTGAATTCAAAGCAGCAACAATTACAAATTCTCAGACAATCAACATCCAGACTCTTTAATTTGGCTCCTGTCTATCCCTTTAACTCATTTCCTGTCACTTTGTGCTTCTCAACTGAGTGTTGCAAAATTCACGGGGCACTCATGTGCCAAGAACTGTGACGTTACATATTTTATACCTATTATTGTCTCATTCCAGCCTCACAATGCCCCTCTGAGGTAATGAACAATGCTCTCCAAGCCTCCATGGTTCTCCTCTGTAGAAGGAAATAATAAGTAGCTTGCCCAAAAGACACACAACTCCTATTCAGGGAAGCTGGAATGCAAACCCAGTCTAAAAGGATCCAGTTATTACCATTAAGCTATGCTGTTGATGTGCTTTATCTACTTCTGTCTACTTGAGAGTTTTCTTCCACTGGCTTTGGTAAATTGATTCCCTTCTTTTGTTGACACTATGCCTCATTCTGTTTTTCTCAGTTCTCACCTAACTCTTCTGTTGCTTTGAGAATCTTCCAAAGATGCCTTCTCTGTGTTATTCAGCCTCTGAGCTCTATAATACCTTCCTATAATATTATTTCACTTTTCATGTTGTAGTATTAATTTTGTATTTATTGTTCTACTATCTGCATTAGATCAAGGGATCTGAGAAAGGGACTCTGTCTCACTTATATTTTCCAAAGTTAACACAGTACATGGAAAATAGAATACATATTTATTCAAAAAACATATAAAATGCCTTGTGTGTCTGAATAAACCCAGTTCTTATGTAGACATGGTAAGGGATTATTTGGTATTCATGTGAGCAGTTAGGTTTTGTGTCAGAGTAGAATGACCACTCTATCAAAAGCTCCATACTATTTTGACATGAAATTGATCTGCAAACACCTATCCAGAATCCCAAACTAATCTAAAGAAGGACAGAATATATCCCCTGAATTTTATCTTTCTCATGTGTTTAGAATCTAGCTGATGAAAATTCATTTTACTACCACCTTGTTTGTTTACATTCGTTTGTTCTCTCATTCAGCAATCTACCACGCAACACGTAATGTTAGTGAGCCACTCTTCTAGGTGCTGAAATAGCCACTCTTCTAGGTGCTGAAATACAGACGAATCCAGATAAGGCCTCTACTTTCATGAAGTTTATATTCTAGTGTCTCAGGTTGGAGAATAAGGAAATACAGAAGATGAAACAGAGTGATATAATGCAGAATGACTGGATGATTAGTTTGGGATTTCTGGAAAATATTTTCTGTATTGGTGTTTTTCTTTTTTTGTTTTGGTTTGATTTTGTCTTTTTGAAACAAGGTCTCACTCTTTTGTCCAGGCAAGATGGTGCAGTGGCAGCATCTCAGCTCACTGCAACCTCTGCCTCCCGGACTCAAGCGATCTTCCCACCTAAGCTTCTCAAATAGCTGGGACTACAGGCATGGACCACTTTTTTGTATATTTTGTAGAGGTGCGGTTTTGCCGTGTTGTCCAGGCTGGTGTTGAATTCCTGGGCTCAAGTGAGCCTCACACCTCAGCCTCCCAAAGTGCTGGGATTACAGGTGTGTGTCACCATGCCCAGCTGGAACTGGTGTTTTTCAAAGCTACCCTGTGCATGACTAGAAGTAACCAACTATGGAAAGAAAAGGGGGAGTAATGAAAATGTCTTTAACAAGGAACAAGGTGAACTTGTTAGAGGAACAGAAAGAAATCCAGGTGGTTGGTGAGTTGTGAGCTAGCAGTAGAGTGGTATGAGATGAAGTTGGAGTGTAAGATCAAGGTCAGGTAACATAGGTCACTATGTGAATCAAGATAATGAGCTTAGCCCGTTTCCTCTCCTCTCCTCTTTTTGTTTTGTTTTGTTTTGTTTTAGAGGCAGTCTCACTCTGTAACCTGTAGCCCAGGCTGGAGTGCAGATGTAGGATTACAGCTCACTGTAACCTGCAACTCTTAGGCTCAAGCAATTCTCCCATCTCAGCCTTCTGAGCAGCTAGGACTACAGGTGTACCTCACCACACCCAGCTAATTTTTTATTTTTATTTTTGTAAAGGTGAGGTCTCATGACATTGCCCAGGCTGGTATCAAACTCCTGGGCAGAAGTGATCCTTTCACCTTGATCTCCCAAGTACTGGGATTACAGGTGTGAGCCACTGTGCCCATTCCTTAGTCTGTTTTCTAAATGTGATGGGTGGGTACTGAAGAGTTTTAAACTGAGGGCAACAGCATGATTCTTTAAAAAAAATCAAAATGATCAATTAGGCTATAATATAGAGAATGGGTAGCATTGGAAATAATAAAACTGGGACTTCAGGAATATTTTTAGAGAATGAGCCACCACTTCTTACCCACTATTTAGATGTAGTGTTTGTGAGAAGAGAGGGGTCAGGAGAACTTATTGGGTAGATGGTATGGCCATTTACTAAAACGAGGAGCAGGTTAATGTATAAGGGAGAGATCAAAGGATGAGATAAGATCTCCTAAGGAGAGTGTGTAAATAGAGAAAATTGAGGATGCTACTGGAGGGAGCCAGTCTTTTGAGTTCTGCAAAAGAAAAGGGTGTCAACAGAGGAGATTAAGATTATGAAAGATAATGCAATCAGGAAAAAGCAAAACAAAACAAAACAAAATAGGAGGCCAGATGTGGTGGCTCATGTCTGTAATCCCAGCAATTTGTGAGGGCAAGGGGGGTGGATCACCTGAGGTTAGGAATTCAAGACCAGCCTGATCAACACAGTGAAACCCTGTCTCTACTAAAAGTTATCCGGGTTTGGTGGCACATGCCCATAATCCCAGCCACTTGGGAGGCTGAGGCAGGAGAATTGCTTGAACTTGGGAGACGGAGGTTGCAGTGAGCGGAGACTGTGCCATTGCACTCCAGCCTGGGCAACAAGAGTGAAGAGTGAAACTCTGTTTCAAACAAAACAAAACAAAAAGAACAGGAGAGTGATATATTCTGCAAATCAAGAAAAAGAGAGTATTTCAAGGGAGAATATGACGCTTTGTTTTACTTATTGTTTTTCATTATTATAATTCAAATCATTTTGGGTCAAAGAAGATCTATACGAAGATACTCTTTGAAGAAATCTTAACTTTCCAATAAAAGAAGAGGAAAAAAGGTATTAGCCACATTTCTAGGTCATATCTCCGGAAATTTCACCATACAACTGAAACTGTCTTTTAAGTCTGCACATGAATAAAATGAGAACAAAAGATGAATGCAATTTGCCTTACCTGTTTATTTTTCTTGTGGATTGTGACAATTGTTGGAAAGCAATCTTGCATTCTCACGAAATTACTGTATATTTTTCTGTGTCAAGTTCAACTTGATTGAGTTCTATGTGCATTCAAAATGCTACAAGATTAATATGCTCATTTCTAATTCCCACATCTTCCTACATTTTCTTATTATTAGCATTGCTGCTATTACTGTTTTTATGATTATCATTACGCAAGTGTTTCTCTTGTCCTGAGATCTGAGACATCTTAAAAGTTGAGTCTGGGATGCTTGAAAGATAGACAAAGAGAAGGAGGCATCTCTCCAGGTGTTCCGTATTGCATTTTATTTCCAAGCCGCTGCTGTTGAGTCAGCCAGACATGATTACATCAGATCCAGGTAGACTTTAGGGATTCCAGCAGCCTCTCTTCCAAGTCTCTCTTTAAGATAAAATAGTCCGGCTGGGCGCAGTGGCTCACGCCTGTAATCCCAGAACTTTGGGAGGCCGAGGAGGGCCGATCACGAGGTCAAGAGATTGGGACCGTCCTGGCCAACATGGTGAAATCCTGTCTGTACTAAAAATACAAAAATTAGCTGGGCATGGTGGCGCACGCCTGTAGTAGTCCCAGCTACGCAGGAGGCTGAGGTAGGAGAACTGCTTGAACCTGGGAGGTGGAGGTTGCAGTGAGCCGAGATCGCGCCACTGCACTCCAGCCTGGACGACAGAGCGAGGCTCCGTCTCAAAAAAAAAAAAAAAAAAAGATCAAGTAGTTCATTACCATAGCTCTCCCTAGCAAAGCTGTAAACTGTGGCCTTGATAAGGAGCACACATATTCAGAAGCCAATTCTAGCCAGTCGTGTTATCTTTAATGTGCAAATAAATATTAGATGGGGCAAGGAGCAGAGTATAATTCGATCCTGTGGTGACTCACGTTGATGTGCAGCATTCGACGTAAGAAAGATGTCAAAGGAGATAAGAGGTAGAAGTTTATTTTTAATAAATTCTTTTTATGTAAAAAAAAATCTATGACTAACCTAGAAATATAATTCAAAACTGAATTGTATTTTCTCTTTGATATTGATTATTTTTGATGTGGTAAAATGGGTGAATTAATAAGGAGATATGCTAAGAAGGGAATGCACCTCTTTTGTTTGGGTTTGGAAGAGATGTGTTGGAAGTGGTTTGATGTTTTGTGAGCCAGGTATTTCTAGCTAAAATCCTGTCCCCTTCACTTGGAGTCTATGTGCTCTAGTATGGGTTTCTTACATTCTTTGAGTCTCAGCTTCTTATCTGTGCCATGTGACAAATAATGCTTATGTCCCTGGAAATGGCAGATAGTCCGTTAGTGACAGCTATTTACAATATTGTTTCACATCTTTCTACAAATTGCTAAACCTTTACCCTTTTCTCTAACTTTATGTGTAGCAGGAGAGGCAGATCTATTTGCATAGCCCATCATTTTCAGATTATTATAGGGCTTGGTATTTAGCTTTTTGGTATTATAGTCAATTACAAATGATTTATTAGCTACTAGGAAGGTGCAGTATAAATAATAAACTTGAAGGTTATAGACAAATTATGTTTTTAATTGGAATGCTAATAAATTATAATGTCATGTTATGAAATAGGTAGCTAGGTTCTTCAAACATCGCAGTAAAAGTCACCTGGTGAATATTTACCCAATGATGGCATAAATTAAACTTAGCTGTCAAAGAAAAATCTGCAAAGGAGGAAAAATAATGCTTCCCCATCTTCAAGCTTTGTTTATTTAAATTTAGAACGATGTCTGCGGGTATTAATCTTGATAATCTGGAAGACTTAGAAATCATTATTTTTCCGGATTAGGTAACAATGAAGTTTTTTCCAATTCATGTTTTGTTTGTAAATATTTTCTGAATTGAAATGTGAAACTTAATTCTAATTAGAAACAAGTTGAATTGTTGTGATAAATAGAAGTATTTGTTATCCGTCTTCATCTTTCTGTATCTAACACCAATATCTATATTGATACCCAATTTTAAAGAGCATTAAGTATTTCTCAAATAACATCACCTCTAGGAATTAAGAAACTCAGAATCTTATGAAGAGATGAGTGCCTTATTCTCTATGAATGAGCCCTTGTTGATTTCCTCATCTTCCTAGCCTTTCCTTTTTCTGAGTGACGGACGTGTTTATACTGTACAGCTACACGTAATAGGATAATGATGAGCATTTAATAAATGCTTACTAAATAGCTGGCACAGTGCTGAACATTTTACATATATCATCTCATTTAGTATCATCCCATTTATGGAGAACTGTGTTAATTCACAGGAACATTGAGCAAATTGCTTAAGTTCACACAGTGTGTACACACTGAAGTCAGGTCAAGGACCCAGGCAGCCTACTGCATGTTTAACCTCAATTCAGTACACCCTCTTTTCCATGAAAATGCCTTGGGAATAAAAATCCCTTGAACATGTTGATCTTTGGACAAATTTGAGGGATTTTTCTCAGCTATGACTAACAACCAGAGGTTACCAGGCAGATGCACTTTATTTATTTTTTTATTTCTAGCTTAATTATTAGCAGTACCTTACATTTTAATGTTACTTGCCATATGTGTTATTTATTAACACTAACATTTAGCAAGTATATTTGCAATTCTTAGACATGTGGACAAGGCGTAGGGCCTCTTCTGTGTTATTGCAGGGGAAAACAAAAAATAGCTGTATATATTTCCCCTTCAGGCAAAGCGAGATTCCCACAGGAGTGAGGATGGTGGGGCTTCTCATTAATATCTAAATGCAAGGAGTGAATACTCCTAATTTTATGCTATTCTTCTCCTAGAATGAACTATTTCAGTTCTGAAATGAGAGTAAGAACATGGAAATCATGTATATTTTAAAAGAAATGCCATTTGGGATGACTGGGTAATTAATTCATTCCTCATCAACTTGTCTACAGCCACTCATGTCTTACACAGATCTGTGTTTCATTAGGAATCAGTGAGATACACACTCAATGAAATCATTTTATATATGATTTGGAGAATTTAAAAAAATCTCTATTACTTTTATCCTGATGACTCAACATGAAGTGTTTTAGTTTTCTGGGCATCAGTGAAATACTGAATTATACCATTTGTCTCTTTTAAAGCAATTTAATTCCATTACATTTAATAATATTTAGTACTTACAGAGTATCATCTCCTTTCAAATGGAAACATTAACTGCTGTAATTAATCCTCCTGGCACTTCTCCAGTCTAAAAATATAAATAGAAATAAAGAATGCAATTAGGAACAGGTGTGCCTTGATAAAAGAAGGAAACACAATGAGATGTTTAGCCCCTGACTCAGGACTCCTGGGTTCAGTTACTGCCCAGAGAAAGTTTTTTCCTTAAGGAGGCAAGCAGTTCACTTCATAGACATTGAAGTTTATACCTCAGGTTTGATGACTTGGGAGAATATATCCAAGATCCTTTATAGATATGTGATACTAGCTCTATTGTAACTAAAAGTTGGGAAGTAGATGACATTTTAGTTAAATCTCCACATGAGTTGCTATGATTGTTTTATTCTGTGAAAATTTTGCCTATAAAGTGTCTGCTGTTTACTGCCCTCTTTGGCTTCCACATAGTTCCAGAGACTGAGAAAAGTGAGGAGGAAGGAACAGATAGTAAACAGAAAGTTTATTTCTTTGATTGCTGATGTCCGGCATTAAGACTTGTAATCTCTCAATTGAATTGTATCTCAAATTGTCAGTTTGTCAGTTTGATTTTTGCTATGACAGAAACCTGCGTCTTTCCTAGTGATTGTCCTTTGGTGGTTTCCTTCTGTTCTAGGGAACAAATCTAAGATCTTTCCTATGGTAGAAATCATGCTATAGTAAGCAACTCTCTCTTGTTCTTTATCCCCAAGTCTTTGAGAACTATAGCTCTAGAACCATGTTTTAAAGTTTCAAATGTATAAGTATACTAATTAAAGATTTATATTTCACAGAGAAGACTCACTAACTACACTTGAGTGCTGCTCCACAGAAAAGTAGAATAACAGCGGTTTTATTCATTTATTTGTTTGTTTGTTTATTTCAATCCTGAAAAAACCCTGGGAGGTTAAAATCACCCAGGAGGCTTTAAAAAAATACTAATTTCTGAATTCCACTGCAATCTACTATTTTAGGATACAGGGAAGCAATGCCTAGCCATTGCTATTTTACAAAATCTCCCAGAGATACGTGATTTTATTTGCATCTAAATGTTAAAACTACTTTAAAATAAGAATATGATAAAAGATAATATTGCTTAGAAGTTAATAATAAACTATAGAATTAGACAGTTCTGAGGTTCTTAATGTGTTCCAAAATTATTTTTTAAATTCAGTGTTTAATTAGAGAAACATAACAGGGCATTGGCAATGATCAGTGGGACCCCTGGTGGCAGTCCTCAGTTTTGTCTCCTCTGTACTGATCAGTTAAGTTCTGGACCCCCATACTTGCATATCCCATTCAGCAAGACAGAAGACTTCAGGTTTTTTTGGATCTAACTTTCTTAGATATCAGAAGGATGATGATCCTTGAATACTTGAACATGCCTCTTTGGGAGGCGGGTGGCATGTTGCCATCTCCAAGTGACTTCTCACATTGCTCTTCGTAGCTACATATATCCTTTCCTTGATAGAGTTATGAGCAATCTTGTCTTTTTAATCTTGTTAGAAAACTAATGATTTTTGGCAATCCTTATCTACTGCCCCGAGTTGTGAGAATGAAACACAGGAACATAGCATGGTTGTTTGGCAGTATTAAATATTCAATAAATGTTGGTGGTGTTTTTATTTTTATTTTCAGCACTATATAATTGTTTACCTGAATGCCCCATAACTCATGCTTCTCCTCTCATTATTCATTATTTCTCAGATGCTATTTTTTTCTCTTACCAGGGAGAAATGGAAAGTAAGAGCTGTAAATATTCAATGCAAATATTTATTAATACAATGTAAGTATATCCCTTGAGTATATACAATGACAGATATGCTTTAAATTCTTTTAATGTATTTAGCTTATTGAATTCTTACATTTATAAGGTAAGTATTACTATTGCCCCCATTTTAGAGATAAAAACACTGATTTACTGACAAGTTACTTAACTTTTTAAAGGACACAGCTAGTATGTGGTGGGTCTCTGGGATTTGAACTCAGTAAATTCAGTTCCAGAGCTTGTGCTGTAAACCTTCACAATGCCTACTCTCTTACTTTCTTAAGATCTAGCTCCCAGCATTATGACTATGTGAATTTATCATGGACAGCCCCCGTCACCAAAAAATAATGAACAGCTTTCCACACTGACTCCTAAACAGGCTAAAAATGTACCCATGATGTTATACTGCATGCATTGTTTATTTTCTCTTTTTTCAAGGTGCACAGAGTCTAATAGATGAGCACACAAGTGTCTTACATACTTAGGTGCTTTTAATTCACAGTAAAATGTCTGGCATACACTAGATGCTCCAAAAATAATAAGCATAAAGCCAAAGAGAAAAATGAATAGTGAACTCACAGGAAATAGACTTAGAAACAAAATTTTATAGCTATTTAATAAATGGGAGGTTTCTTCCTTCCTTTCCCATAAAAGGTATGTAAGTGTCAGCTCCTGATCAGGATAGGGATGAAGATGAGGACATTCAAATGTATAGTTCCATTCTCAATACTATATTATTAAAGTCCAGAAACAGTTGTAGATATTTATTTTCAGCTATATGCTATTGCTACTCATCATTTCTAAATTCCTCCACTCAGGATTTGCCTACATAAAGTTGTATTTGAGCTTAATGGAAATTTAATGAAAATATATTGGTTAATTCATTTCATATAAAATAATATGATGACTTCATTTTTCTAGTTATACATCATACATAAACATCCTAAAGCTTACTGATGCATTCAAAATAGGATAACTCCATCCCAGCTTGACATTTATCAGGCTCGTTTAAAGCAGATAGACTGTAACTGTTCTACTTTTGCCTCTTCTAAAGATAACTTGCAGGACGCTGGAGTATTATCATCAATAATGTCATCTAATGTCCAATCCATGTGTAATCATTTCCTCCTCTCTTATATAAAGGCCTCATTCACCACGGCTTTGCAAAAGATGCAAAAAATGATGGGATAGTTAATATTAGTGTTAAAATTTCAAAATATTTCCAGCAGGCAACCCTCTCAACACAGTTTTCTATCTGGTCTGCTTCTTTTGGACTTGGCATGAGATGTAACTTTGGAGTCATGTCCTGCAGTTGTAATTATTGCACTGGAAGCTGAAGCTCACATTTTTATCCCTGAAAAGCTTCGGGTGACAATCAGACCTAAATTCTCTGGCGATTTTAGTGCTTGTGGTCATGGAATAATTCTACAAGCGTGTCTTGAATACTAACAACACACTAAGCATTGTGCCCAGTGCCAGAGATACAAAGGTGAATGGGAAATGGTTAGGAGTTTAAATCCATTTAGGGGCAGGGAAAGAGTCATTGTACTCATAATGATATAATAAGTTAAGCTTCCATTAATTAATTGCTTCATACCAGACACCTACCTCGCAGAGTTCTGTTTTGACTTTATATTTTCCCATCTAAAATACTGTAATAAAATAAGTAAATTATTTAAGGTTAAGTGGCATATATACCATAGGAAATGTGGGTGACATACAACCCATGTTCTTAAATGCATAGGATACAATATCGTATACTGTCCCTCCACAATCTTTACATAAGCTTTCCATTTGTTTCTGTTCCTCAATTTACACTAACTAGCATAGAATTACAACTTACCCAAGGCCTCTCAGAGGCCTTTTGTTGTTATAAGCTATGCTTATTAGGAGGGAAGGCTTGAAGGTGGGCGTTTGTTCAGATTTCCAAGCACGTTTTATATTTTTCCTCTAAAGCTTCTGAAACATATTGCTACTTACCTTTCCCAAGCAGCCTCGTGTGCCTGGAGTTCTCAGCAGCCGGGACCCTGGTGTTCTAGAGGTTTAGATAGGATGTCTGGCTTCCACTGAATCAGGGAACCACTCAGTGCTTCTGTAAGGTGTGGGATGAGGCAAATTCATTTATTCAGGTATTATCTTCTTAGTTTGCACCATATGCCGGCACCATCCAAACACATTCCTGCTATTGATCCCGTCTGAATATAGCAGATGATTTCTGACCTGACATAACCAATATTATTACTACAATCGCAGGTTTTGATGTGTTAGTTCCTCTCCTTAGTCAGAGAAAAATAAATCCATGTATTTTTAAAATTGTTCTCGCTATACTACTTAAAATTAACATATGTATCTCTCTTTGGGAAACATTGTAAAAGCTAATGTAAAATGTACTAGACCATATGAGACCTTAAATTAGTAGGAGAAAAATCTTCTGGAGCTCTGTCTCTTTTGCCACATGTGAAGGTTGCAAAAAACAAACAAAAAAAATCACCACCAGCACTAAAAGAAAAAAACAGGCACATAGATTAATTAGTATCCTCATTAATAATTTATCCCAATAAATATGTCTTCAATCTCACTGTCTCTCCATTTGGGCTGCTGCTACCCTAAGCCACATTTCTATCCTTCCTCGTCTGATTTATTTCACTACATATTTAAAAAGATATATGTAATTTAAAAAATCTTTTCTAAGTTCAAAATCACATTATTTCAGTCATTTTTCCACACTGGAATGTGAATGATTTTCAAAAATACATGTCTGGACATGTTACTCTCCTGCTCTAAATCATTTGTTAGTTTCTCCAAGACCTTGTGGGTAAAAGTTCAATATCCCTAATATATCTATGCCCGCAGCATAATATACGATGCCCACAAACAGCCTACTGCCTGCAAATACAGCCTCTCCTCTTGTCACTCTCCTCTGTTGCCTGACCATACTGGACTTACTCTAATTTCTGAAACACTTCGAATAATATTGATTCTCTTCGTTTGATGAACAATGAGGTTAACTGGAAAGACAAAGAGCTTTGGACTGAACCTAGATTTAAATTTGGCTGTACAGTCTCTCTTTACTTTTTCATATATTTAAAATAGAGATGAGAAGGTCTCACTCTCAGTGTTATTAGGAGTAAGAAAGAAGACAACAGCCTCCTTGATCAATATTACTTCCTTTTAATAAGGGCGGTTATCCCTCATTTATACTGACCAAAGAATGGATTTCTGCATTGCTTCTCAAAGTGTGTCCAACGGCTTCCTGGATCACAACCTCAATATCACCTGGAAGCTTCATAGACATTAAAAACCTCAGGTCCCATCCTGGGTCTGCTGAATCAAAATATGTATTTTCACAAGATTCCCAGGAGGTGCATGCAGGTCCACATTAAAGTTTAGAGTACTAGGCTAAAGGTTGAGATCTTTTTTCCCTGCAACTGGTTATTTTTTATTTTAAAGTTACTGTGTTTTTTCCTGTGAAATTCAAATCAAGTTCTAGGAGCTGATAGAAGACAGGAAACAACTCTGACGTATTCACTCTTATATCCACAGGGTTTAGAATGGGTCATGAAACAACTGCTTTTTAAAATAATAAATGAGAAGCGGGGCCCAGAAAATAAGTAATGATACAACTTTCACCACTCTTAAACTATTGTTTTACTGTATGCCTGAGAGAGTTCTGGGTCACTATACGGGAGTGGTACAATATTTAAGGACACTATATATATTAAAAATCACATTACTCCAGATTAACTTTTACACGGAGCATAAATATGCTCTTGTTTGGAGCATATATTTGGTGAAACAAATATATACACTCTTAACACACCTTTAGAGTACATCTATTCAAAATCTTTGAATTACATTTTTGTTTTAGTAATGCTTCATCTTTTGTTTTAGCAATATCTCTAATAGATCCCAGAGTGCTCTCTTTTAAATTAATAATATGTTATGGTCATGGAAATATTCTGTGCTTTTTCTTTTCTTTTCTTTTTTTTTTTTTTTGAGACGGAGTTTTGCTCTGTGGCCCAGGCCTGGAGTGCAGTGGCGCCTTCTCGGCTCACTGCAAGCTCCGCCTCCCGGGTTCACGCCATTCTCCTGCCTCAGCTTCCCGAGTAGCTGGGACTACAGGCGCCCACCACCACGCCCGGCTAATTTTTTGTATTTTTAGTACAGACAGGGTTTCACCGTGTTAGCCAGGATGGTCTCGATCTCCTGACCTCGTGATCCGCCCGCCTCGGCCTCCCAAAGTGCTGGGATTACAGGGGTGAGCCATAGCGCCCAGCCTGTGCTTTTTCATTATATTCTATCACATTTCTCTTCTAAGCCAGTTGTACGTTAGATCTGTGTATATGTGCATGAGCTCCCTCGAACATGTTTGTGTTATGTTTTCAGCAGAAATCCTAGGACCACACCTTTAGTATTATAGATGTTTTAAGGGTACGTCTTATAACTGTGGGTAGCATTTTTGTCTAACATTTTGCTTAACATTTACAATTAATGTTACTTTTATGTAACATTTACATTAAAATGGGAGAAATCCCTCACAATCTTTCTGAGGGGCCCAAATGACATTGGTGGCATAGTTACTGATCATGGAAAGTGGGGGTTTCTAATATCCAGGAAAAGTGGCTCAGCAGTGTGACAAGAGCAACATACTGCTTATATTTCATTCAGTCAGAATGCCCTGAAACAGGTGATTCCTAATGAATGTTTTTTTTAGAAAAGTCCTTATTAGGCTGAGTGCAATGGCTCATGCCTGTAATCACAGTGCTTTGGGAAACCGAGGTGGAAGGATCACTTGAAGCCAGGAGTTTGAGACCAGCCTGAGCAACATAGTGAGATTCCTGTCTCTACGAAAATAATAATTATTTTTTAAAAATTAGCTGTGCATGGTTGTGTGCACTCGTGGCCTCAGCTACTCGGAAGGCTGAGGTGGGAGGATAGATTGAACCCAGGAGTTCGAGATGACAGTGGAGTGATCACGCCACTGCACTCTGGCCTGGGCGACAAAGTGAAACCCTGTTCTGAAACAAAACAAAACAAAACAAAACAAAAGGTCCTCATGATTTCAACTTTTTCGTTTTAAGTGATATATTGTTACTGTACGTTTATATCTCACAATTTCGAAATGGTGTAATCAAATACACAGAAAATGCTGCAGTAAGTACTGTCTTTGACATGACTATTCAGTAACTTGTTTAATTTGATAATGTGGCTAAATGAGCATTTAGCTAGTCAAACCCAATTTGGAAGCAAGTTTGACTTTTTTGAAAGCTTGCATTTTATCTCTTGGGCTATTCAAGCTACACATTGAAGAATAACACGAGGAATTTCGCTGGGGGTGACATTTATGGCTTTTTGTTTTGTTGCAGACAAATATCTAGAGACTACTTTTCTTAACTAGACAAAATTGTGGTTAGAAAATCCTTAATGGTCCAAGGAGAAATAAATGATATAGTACAAACTCTTACTTTAGGCATTTTAAATCTGGAAATTATTTTACCAGGACTGAAAAAGAGTTTATGGCTTATTTTTATGAAATAAAGGGTCCACATAGTTCTTAACACATATTCTAAGCCCAAAGCAAGTGTCTCCTAAGGTTTGTGAATGATGAATTCAGAATTCAAAAGGTCAATGCAGGGTTGTAAACCTACAGTCCTTTTGGCATAGAAGAAATAAGCTACTTTCAAATACTTTTCAAGGGTGCACTGACAAATAGGCCATCTAGTTGTAGTGTAAGCAAAGGTCAGTGACTTAATGTGCTAAATTCAAATCATTCTTATCCTGTTCTTAAGTTGGGGTGCATCCTAGCAACAGTTCATTAATTTGCATCTAAAGATTATATGCACTTAAACATAATAAATTTGAATTTCTCATTAAAAAATGCCTGCGTATACATAGGGGTGTGTGTGTGTGTGTGTGTGTGTGTGTGTGTGTGTTTTCTAACTTTAGTTAATTTAAACAAGAAAATCCTGGGCAATCACTCTATTAATAAAATTTTTACCTTTACTGTTGACAGCTCTTTTTACTTTAAATGTTTCTCTTACTCTTGGCACTGGATAATACAAATATAAGTAAGTAGTTGTTTTTCAGCTCTCAGTTATAATCACTACTGTGATTACAAACTGATTAACAATCAACCTTCTGTTTAAATGCCATCTCTTACATATATTTGTTATGGAACAGAGTCATAGAAGAACAAACTCTGCGTATGTTAAACTGACTTATGACTATACTTTATTTAATATTGGCTTTTGGCTGAGTCATGTAATTGACATGTGTTTTGAATATATCAATTTTTTTGTTTTGTTTTGTTTAAGAGACTAGGTTCTTGCTGTGTCACCCAGGCTGGAGTGCAGTGGCTTGATCATAGCTCACTGCAGCCTCTAACTCCTGGGCTCAAGCAATCCTCCTGCCTCAGCTACCCAAGTGGCTGGAACTACAGGCATTTGCCACCACGTGTGGCTAAAATTTTTAATTTTTTTTGTGGAGATGGGGTCAGCTTATGTTGCCCAGGCTGGTCTCCAACTCCTGACCTCAAGATATACTGCCATCTTGGCTTCCCAAAGTGGCGGATTGCAGATGGGACCCAGTGCACCCAGTCTTGTATCAATTTGTTGATTGATTTATTGATTCCCAACCTGTTAAAAAATAAGGTACAATAAGTCCATTTGTGGATTTGTTGGAAATCACTGCTGGTAAGCTCAGTCAGTATAATAGGTCTCTTCATAAGAATCTCGAATCCATGTAGGCGAACAGCCAACCCTTTCTGAGATAGTTGAGAATGAAAACACCTAGCCCAAACCTTTTGTAGTCAGATTTTTGTTTTGGTCACATGGTTAAGAGAAAGAGCTCTGGATTCAGGATGACTGTGTTGATACCAAAGCTACTAGATATGTAATTTCATCCATTCCGTACAGAATAGGAAACCAAGGTTCAAGATGCTTATACATAGAAAATACATAACACAGGAGTTTACAACAGGTAAAAACCTAAAAACAGGCCAGGCGCTGTGGCTCACGCCTGTAATCCCAGCACTTTGGGAGGCTGAAGCGGGCAGATCATGAGGTCAGGAGATCCAGACCATCCTGGCTAACAAGGTGAAACCTCGTCTCTACTAAAAATACAAAAAAATTAGCTGGGCATGGTGGCGGGCACCTGTAGTCCCAGCTACTCGGGAGGCTGAGTCAGGAGAATGGCGTGAACCCGGGAGGCAGAGTTTGCCGTGAGCCGAGATCATGCCACTGCACTCCAGCCTGGGCAACTGAACGAGACTCCATCTCAAATCAAAACAAAACCTAAAAACAACTCTATAAGCCCTATTAAAGAACAGTCTAATGTATGTCACTTGACAGACACTTCTGCTTTTATGTAGATGTCCCTTTTCTACAATGTTCAGATGCCATTTTAGGCCCAAATGTGTAGGCCTCTTAGAATACAATGTAGACAGACAAAGGATATTTTGATGAGACGGCTTATACAACAGCACCTATAAAGAGTCCTTATATCACCCATTTTCATAGTGTGTCTAAAATAAAGTGTGATTTCCATTTGCTCATTTAAAATAATGCTAAACCTCTACTATTTATGGTTAGTGGGAGCATTAGTACAGTGGCCACTGTTAGAATCAAGAGGTTACAACACTCAGTGGCTAGGGGTGCAGTCCTTGTCTCCAGGTTTAGAGTTGGAGGTGAGATAGGCAGCAACTGAGGAGGTATAGTGCAGGGACATGATAGATGCAGTTACCCAGGACAGTCAAGAGCCATAGATGGCACAAGCTTTCTTATCTCATGTCTTAGAGCTGACAAGGTTTCTTCATGAAAGAGCAAAACTGGCATAGTAAATGTAGCTAATATGCAACATTATGTAATAGAATTCCTTTAACTTTGGTTTTGACAGGGCCAAAAATTTGACTCTCAGATTCACAGTATTCATCGTGAAGTGTGAAAGTTGATGAGTAGTACAAATCAAAGTACCTAAAAGATAAAATAAACTGATTCACATCAAGAAATTTGGTTACTGTCTTATTGTTGGGACTACTTGTTTTGCCCTAAGTATTTTCTGTTAGTGGTACAGTAGGTGCTGTAATGAGCAATGTCCTTAAAACCAGCCATGTAATACCACAGTGAGGTATTTCATAGGACTTTTAATTTCTAGCATTCCTTAATGTAGGTCACAAAAGTGCAACTATTGCATGCAAAATGCAATTCAGTGGAACTAACTTTACCGAAGGGAAGGACTGGTTATACAAATAATATTGCAATGGAGCTCTCATGTGTTCGTATGTAGTGTAGGGATAGGTATTAGTGTATCCACAGCAATGATTTTCAAATATTTTAACTAGCCTACTCTTCTTGTTAAACAATATCTTCAACAAATATATTTGAAATGGATACATTGAGGCTTCAGTATCATGCGGTAGCCATGTTGGCCACTGGGCCCCTCATGCCATGTCTACTGAGGCATCACAACAGATCCTGCCCCTGGCACAGAGTTTGACGATGCCTGGGCCATTAGGTGCCACCTGATGGGGTGCCTGACGGGGTGCCACCTGACCCCAACATTACTCATGATTTGAATAACACAGAAAGCCTAGTTTTGAGTCATGGAACTAGTGAATAATGTGACTTTTATGTGGAAATATTAAGTAATTATTAACCTTTTGATATTTGTCTAGGAGGCATATATCTAACTAAAATTATAATTGCAGTTTTAGCATTATTTCAAATAGAATTCTAGAATTAGTTTACAAATATTTATACTTATAAATATACATATATAATATCTATGATTTAACATTAAAAATATGTACAGTGTGTGTGTGTTTAGTGTAAGACCTAAGGAAGGAGAAATAAAATAATGTTTAGCAAATCAAGATCTGTATCTACTATACTTATATCTACACCCATGTACCTACTATTTCCAGTTAACAGGCATACTTCTAGTTAATGTAAACCCCATACTGACTCCATAAAATAGTATTATCCCTGTAGCAATATAGAAACTGAAGCTAAGAGAAGTAAAATGATTTGTCTGAAGTTACCTGATATTTAAATCGCAAAGCTGGGATTGGGGTTGAGGACTGAATAACTTCAAAACCCATATTCTTTCTACTGTACAAGGATATTGAATTACATGACAAGTGAATCAAGGCAAAATGAAAAAAGGAGAGAAATGAATATGAATGATCTCCAAGGCTAACTGGTGGAGCACTCAGATAACAGGCGATGACTCATGCAATGCCTTCTAATGTGTCTGTTGTTTTTTACTCTTTATCCTTGAAATTGTCATGAAAGGTATGAATGGCAGAGTTCAATGGCAGTAATTAGCCACTTCAAATAAAAAGTACATAATATCTTAAATGAGACCCTTTGTATCCATTTTTCCTCCCAAACCTTGCCATTAGCTCAGCACACCCTAGATGCCAGTCTCCAGCGTGAGTCTACATAAAATTGCCGTTACTATTAAAGAGACTCATGTAGACTCACAAAAGAAATAATGGAATCTATTGAATCAAAATTATGAATCCTTTAACAGTGCCTCCTGTGACTGAGCACACTGCATTCTGCCTGTCTCTGTTGCACAGACAACAATTGCTTAAATGCTGGGTTGTTTGTGGGCATATGCTCCATCTGTCAGGTGTCACAGAACCCTAAGGATATAAAAAAGTCCTTCTACCACCTAATGGTTTTCATCTGTTGGTGAATGCAGGAGCTGACCCTTTAGAAAAATAGCTAACAAGGACACAGATCAGGGTGTTAATTTGAAGGTGTTACAAAGACAGGAAGAAAAACTGTCTACAAATAAATCAGAAGACTTTGGAAAGGAATGTGAAGTATTGGAGATTAATGGGCTGCTGTCAGGCATACTTGGGTTCAAATATCTGTTTTCTTATTTTTTTGTCTTGTGATTTAAATTATCTGCCAAAGGATCAAACCTCAATGAATGTTTATTCTATTTCATTCTTCCCATATTTGGAACATAGATTTTATTTTCCCACTTGTAAGGTAAATGTATACACACACACACACACACACACACACACACACACACACACCCCTTCTGAGTCCCAAATCAACATTTTATGATTCTGCTTCTTATTAGTTTGTGTGGCTTGGAGCAGGTTACTTATCTACTCTGAATCTCAGATTTCTCATTGATCAAATGAGAAAAAAGAAACAACCTTGTGAAGGTATAGTAAGGATGAAGTAATGTATGTAAAGCAATTTGAACAGTATATGGTATATAGTAGATTCTCAATATACGTTTATTGCTTTCTTCTTTCTCCATCTTTTCCTCTTTTCTCTGCTACTTTCTGACCTGATCCTGGTTGGAGTCACCTTTGAAATAATAATGTTAGAGACTCTGTTTTGCTTTGTTGTGTCCTGCTAAAAAAATACTTCAGAAGTCAAAACATTTATGGAGTAAGTGGATATTTACTATGAGTCTTGAATTTAACATTTTATGACATACATTTCCTCAAAGGAGTAGTATATTGTGCTCTTGCAGATGAGTGACCCTACTTTAAACTCCCCTTGAAATTCATGTTGCTTGATGCTTTGAAATGAGTGTGGAGTGATTCTTCTGTAATTACACATGATGCATTAATTATTTCCTAATGAGGCCTAATGGAGAAAAATAGAAATAAAACAAATTGTAATAGCACACTCCTTTAGCTTCTCTAAAGTCATCAAAGTCACATCTCTAACAGTAAAAATAATGTTTCTCCTCCTTCTGATAGCATCAATTTTGGTGAAAGGTGAGCCTTGTGCTTTTGAGCTACTCAATATTTTCTGTAATAATATAGTATTTTATTGAGATTAATTCTTAACTGGGGTAAGGAGAAACAATGAGTATCTTGATTGCCATTAGCTTCTCAGTGTTCTATTAAAACAACCACAACAAGAAAAACAAAATCTTGTTTGCTCTTCTTATTTTATTTTGTCTTGTAATTTAACCAGCGTGGCCATGTCTGATTGGCTTTTGACAGTGTTGCCACCCTGTGGTCTCACCTGCTTTAATTGGACAATGGCAGTTTTCAATTAGTGTAAGCACAGCTTCTTGGACTGCCTCAGCAATTTTTCTCACACATATATTGTAATTATGTGTGTACCTCAATGTGTGAGACTATAAACATATGCTATATGATTGAATAGGAGTGCTGTCAACACTTTATTTTAGGAGCGTATTAATTATGACTGAATAATAATCTGGATGCTAATACAGAGTAACACCCTCTACCTGGTTGATATTTACATTACCAACTGCATCTCATTCTCAGAACGACGAATTTCAAAGTACGGAACAATTAGCAACTCTATGGAAATCCTACATTAAGAGTGTCTTACAAATAATCCTCCTCAGGACAATTAACAGCTCTTTATTTAAACCGTTTTTATTTATTGATTTATTCTGCCCAAACAGGAGGAGAGGCCAAAAATAGAAGGTTGAATTTTAGAATTGCAGTAACTAAAGATGACTACGTGGATAAGAAGGTTTTTAGTTTAAGTGTTTCTTTTAAAAAAAAAAACAGAAACTAATATTCATTTCTTCTGATTATATTGTTCCATCAATCACCAAGATCCTGTATATTCATGACTGCAATTTTTGAGTATGATGCTCTTTAACCTTCACACGAGAACACACTGATGAAGTCTAGCAAGCTTATTATTTTCAACAACTTTCAGTAGTGAATGTAGAGGTCAGAGGTGGGGAAGGAATTTTGTTATTAAATATCCCATGTACCTGTGTATCTGGGTGAGCAGGTAACTTTGGCCTGATATTTAACTCTGTAAGAAGAATGGGAATCTGCTATGGCCTCTAACAAGATGATGCGTGAGAACCTATAGGCTGTGCACACAGTAGAAGTATTATAAATAATTGTTAAAGGGTTGTGTATATTTCAACATAATCAAGTGTTTTAGTATTCAGAAGTGAATGTTCAAAAGTCCCAAAAAATGTTTGGAACCTAAAATTGATTATTCCCTAATGGAAACATTTCGAACCACTTATTAAAAGTGGCATTGCCAAATAATACCATCCCACTTAGAGTATCAGGATTAAAACGACAACAACACAACAACAACCACAGAAAGGAATAACTTTTTGATCTCGAAGTCAGCGGTCCTCATAGTGTGGTGCCTGGATCAACAATATTAGCATCACCCAGGAACTTCTTAGAAATCCAAGTTTTTTTTTGGTCCCATCCCAAAATTGCTAGAGAGGGCCCAGTAATCTGTGTTTTTACTTATGATTCTGATACCCATGATTCTGATGCTTGCAGAAGTTTACCCTGTTCTAAAGAGATATATATGTGTATATATTTAAATATATATAGTAAATATATAATATATTTAAATATATACACAAATATATACATCACATATATAATATATATTTAAATATTATATATTTATCACATATATACATCACATATATTTATATATATTTAAATATATATACATGTGATGTATATATATATATATCCTCTAGCCATCTAGATTGCCAGGGCTTCATAATAACCTGAGACAATATTCACCTGACAATATTCTGGTCAGGGAACTTGAATATGCCAGCTTTATGTTGTATATGTGACATATAGTATTTCACTTATTATTCACAACAGTTCAAAGAGGGAAGAGTTTATTTCCTCATATCTAAAATATTCATTAAATTAAAGCAAAATAAATTTGACTTTCCTGTGGTCATACACTGAAGCTTTCAGACCCATGTTTTGTGATGCCAACCCTATAATTTTTTCCCAAACGTTATGCTGCTACTTGTATTGGTTATTAATGGCAAAAGTTATCAGTGATGACACTGAGGACTAAAAAGATTGAGTGCGGATGTCCATTATCAATTAATTTTAGTTCAGATAATGCTTTTTATACAATAAAATACTTATTGAGTGTCTGACCGACGGTGGAATGAAAGGAGTTGAATTTGGAATGAAGACGCCTGTGTTCTAATCCTCAAGCTATCTAATTTTGTTCATGGCCAGAAGAATTCCCCAGGGTTGTGGGAAAAATCAAATGAAGCAACGTATAAGACAGCATTGATACAGCTTAATATCATATATGAATTATTGGTAGAAACATGACACAATGTATTTTGTTACCGGTCAATAAGCTTTATTATTCATTTCTCAACTGTTAGAAGGTGGGCAATTATATTTTGCCAGACTGCATAAATTATTTGAATGGTTTTAGCATAAGGAAAATACAAATATTTAAGGTGATGGATATCCCAAGTACAGTGAATTATTCTTTACAAATTATATGAATGTATTAAATTATCACATGTACTTTGAACTATATTCATCTATTCTCAATAAGAATAAAGTTTAAAAATACCCCACTCCAAAATTGCATAAATTTGTATGTGATTTATAAATTTTAGAGTTTTAAAAAGACATTTATATCATTGCCTGGATTTTAGATTTTTTCCATGTGAATGAATCTACATTTGACAGCTTCTGGATCAAAAACCTGGACATAGCATTAGTTATAAGCATGACAAAGTGAAAATTGCCTCAACATAGGACAGTAGTGGGAATGGTTATGAAAATTCAAGTCCCTCTCATCAACAGATCTCTAAAAAGAACTTTCATAAAAAAGTTTTTCACATGTACATTATTTATATACAAATTATACATAAAATTGGCATGTCATTATCTAAAAACAATAAAGTGAAAAAAGCAGGATGCAAAATGGTATATAAAATACTGTCTCAGGTGTAGCATAGTTCTCTCTTTATATGTCTTTTTATATAAATAATAAAGAGATGGTTGCCTCTGGGTGGAGTGTTTTATTTTGCTCTGTATGCTTATTTAATTTGCCACATATTCTACAGTAAACGCGAATTCCTCATATAATAAAAATATCTTTAGAAGGTGATTGTTTTTTACACAAAATTTGCATGGAAAATATTTAGGAGTGCATGCTGTTTATTTCCTTAAAGTGCACTACAGTATTGATCCGGCAGACAGCTAATATTTGTTATCAAAGGCCTGGATTCTTTCTGTCCTATGATTAGGAAAATCTGTCCTAAATTATTGGGGCTGTGTGCACACACAACAATAGAAATTGAGACTTCGTTTTATTTTGTGGACAACTTCGGCTGCATATTTCATTTGTCTCTGAAGAGGTGGCTTAGAATCGATGTGACCTCTATTTTTTTTTTTCCCCAGGCTTGCTCTGTCGCCCAGGCTGGAGTGCAGTGGTGCAATCTCTGCTCACTGCAATCTTCGCCTCCTGGGTTCAAGCAATTCTCCTGCCTCAGCCTCCTGAGTAGCTGGGATTACAGGCACATGCCACCGTGCCCGACTAAGTTTTGTATTTTTTAGTAGAGATGGGGTTTCACCATGTTGGCAAGGCTGGTCTTGAACTCCTGACCTCGTGATCTGCCTGCCTCAGCCTCCCAAAGTGCTGGAATTAAAGGCGTGAGCCATGCAGCTGGCCCCCATGACCTCAAAATCCAAAGTGCTTAGATTACCATGCCCTGCTCTTTTGCACTTGTAATGGCTCTTTTGCTGATTAATAATTTTCTAACATCATGTATTTGGGAAATACTGGTTTACTGAGCTATGTAGAACTTCCAGATTTTATTATACAGTATCAAAAAATCATATTCTGTAACATCAGCAATTTCACAGAAAAATATTTAAGTATTTAGAAGTTTCTGTTCGGGGACAGATTTTCTGAAATTCGAGTATTTGCTAGAAAGCTCAGATTTTGATGTGGGTAACTATGGTTGGTTATCTTTAAAAGAATAAGCTAGTTGTATTTATTTTGGATAAAATATCTGCTAAATACAGAAGTCAGAATAGCCATAGTTTGCTTTCAGTTGTTTTTTTCAAGAACATGAGGTTTTACAAATAAAGTGGTTAGTTCAGCTTACAAATGAAACAATCAGGCTACACTCTTTTTTTTTTCTTTTATTATTATTATTATTATTATTATACTTTAAGTTTTAAGGTACATGTGCACATTGTGCAGGTTAGTTACATATGTATACATGTGCCATGCTGGTGCGGTGCACCCACCAACTCGTCATCTAGCATTAGGTATATCTCCCAATGCTATCCCTCCCCCCTCCCCCCACCCCACAACAGTCCCCAGAGTGTGATGTTCCCCTTCCTGTGTCCATGTGTTCTCATTGTTCAATTCCCACCTACGAGTGAGAATATGCGGTGTTTGGTTTTTTGTTCTTGTGATAGTTTACTGAGAATGATGATTTCCAATTTCATCCATGTCCCTACAAAGGACATGAAGTCATCATTTTTTATGGCTGCATAGTATTCCATGGTGTATATGTGCCACATTTTCTTAATCCAGTCTATCATTGTTGGACATTTGGGTTGGTTCCAAGTCTTTGCTATTGTGAATAATGCCGCAATAAACATACGTGTGCATGTGTCTTTATAGCAGCATGATTTATAGTCCTTTGGGTATATACCCAGTAATGGGATGGCTGGGTCAAATGGTATTTCTAGTTCTAGATCCCTGAGGAATCGCCACACTGACTTCCACAATGGTTGAACTAGTTTACAGTCCCACCAACAGTGTAAAAGTGTTCCTATTTCTCCACATCCTCTCCAGCACCTGTTGTTTCCTGACTTTTTAATGATTGCCATTCTAACTGGTGTGAGATGGTATCTCATTGTGGTTTTGATTTGCATTTCTCTGATGGCCAGTGATGATGAGCATTTTTTCATGTGTTTTTTGGCTGCATAAATGTCTTCTTTTGAGAAGTGTCTGTTCATGCCCTTCGCCCACTTTTTGATGGGGTTGTTTGTTTTTTTCTTGTAAATTTGTTTGAGTTCATTGTAGATTCCGGATATTAGCCCTTTGTCAGATGAGTAGGTTGCGAAAATTTTCTCCCATTTTGTAGGTTGCCTGTTCACTCTGATGGTAGTTTCTTTTGCTGTGCAGAAGCTCTTTAGTTTAATTAGATCCCATTTGTCAATTTTGGCTTTTGTTGCCATTGCTTTTGGTGTTTTAGACATGAAGTCCTTGCCCATGCCTATGTCCTGAATGGTAATGCCTAGGTTTTCTTCTAGGGTTTTTATGGTTTTAGGTCTAACATTTAAGTCTTTAATCCATCTTGAATTGATTTTTGTATAAGGTGTAAGGAAGGGATCCAGTTTCAGCTTTCTACATATGGCTAGCCAGTTTTCCCAGCACCATTTATTAAATAGGGAATCCTTTCCCCATTGCTTGTTTGTCTCAGGTTTGTCAAAGATCAGATAGTTGTAGATATGCGGCATTATTTCTGAGGGCTCTGTTCTGTTTCATTGATCTATATCTCTGTTTTGGTACCAGTACCATGCTGTTTTGGTTACTGTAGCCTTGTAGTATAGTTTGAAGTCAGGTAGCGTGAGGCCTCCAGCTTTGTTCTTTTGTTTCTTTGTTCTTTGTTCGTTGGCCTGCCTTGCTAGATTGGGGAAGTTCTCCTGGATAATATCCTGCAGAGTGTTTTCCAACTTGGTTCCATTCTCCCCATCACTTTCAGGTACACCAATCAGATGTAGATTTGGTCTTTTCACATAGTCCCATATTTCTTGGAGGCTTTGCTCATTTCTTTTTATTCTTTTTTCTCTAAACTTCCCTTCTCACTTCATTTCATTCATTTCATCTTCCATTGCTGATACCCTTTCTTCCAGTTGATCTCATCGGCTCCTGAGGCTTCTGCATTCTTCATGTAGTTCTCGAGCCTTGGTTTTCAGCTCCATCAGCTCCTTTAAGCACTTCTCTGTATTGGTTATTCTAGTTATACATTCTCCTAAATTTTTTTCAAAGTTTCCAACTTCTTTGCCTTTGGTTTGAATGTCCTCCCGTAGCTTGGAGTAATTTGATCGTCTGAAGCCTTCTTCTCTCAGCTTGTCAAAGTCATTCTCCGTCCAGCTTTGTTCCGTTGCTGGTGAGGAACTGCGTTCCTTTGGAGGAGGAGAGGCGCTCTGCTTTTTAGAGTTTCCAGTTTTTCTGTTCTGTTTTTTCCCCATCTTTGTGGTTTTATCTACTTTTGGTCTTTGATGATGGTGATGTACAGATGGGTTTTCGGTGTGGATGTCCTTTCTGTTTGTTAGTTTTCCTTCTAACAGACAGGACCCTCAGCTGCAGGTCTGTTGGAATACCCTGCCGTGTGAGGTGTCAGTATGCCCCTGCTGGGGGGTGCCTCCCAGTTAGGCTGCTCGGGGGTCAGGGTCAGGGACCCACTTGAAGAGGCAGTCTGCCGGTTCTCAGATCTCCAGCTGCGTGCTGGGAGAACCACTGCTCTCTTCAAAGCTGTCAGACAGGGACATTTAAGTCTACAGAGGTTACTGCTGTCTTTTTGTTTGTCTGTGCCCTGCCCCCAGAGGTGGAGCCTACAGAGGCAGGCAGGCCTCCTTGAGCTGTGGTGGGCTCCACCCAGTTGGAGCTTCCCGGCTGCTTTGTTTACCTAAGCAAGCCTGGGCAATGGCGGGCGCCCCTCCCCCAGCCTCGCTGCCGCCTTGCAGTTTGATCTCAGACTGCTGTGCTAGCAACCAGGGAGACTCCGTGGGCGTAGGACCCTCCGAGCCAGGTGCCAGATATAATCTCGTGGTGCACCGTTTTTTAAGCCCGTTGGAAAAGCGCAGTATTCGGGTGGGAGTAACCCGATTTTCCAGGTGCCGTCTGTCACCCCTTTCTTTGACTCGGAAAGGGAACTCCCTGACCCCTTGCGCTTCCCAAGTGAGGCAATGCCTCGCCCTGCTTCGGCTCGCGCATGGTGCGCGCACCCACTGACCTGCGCCCACTGTCTGGCACTCCCTAGTGAGATGAACCGGGTACCTCAGATGGAAATGCAGAAATCACCCGTCTTCTGCGTCGCTCACGCTGGGAGCTGTAGACCGGAGCTGTTCCTATTCGGCCATCTTGGCTCCTCCCTGATCACCTCTCCAGGCTACACTCTTGAGTCGACACTCATAGTTCGGTATGTACCAGAAGTGGTTTGTGTGTACTCCCCTTTCATTACAGATTATTACTAATATAAGTACATAGGGCTGAGAGTTAATAAAAATATTTTTTACTGCATAATGAAAGACACTCTTACGTGAAACTGGATTTTTTTTTTTTAATCCTGAGAGTGAGTAATGAAGAGTTCTATGACTCAGTACAGTTGTTGGCACTGTGTTGATTGGTACTAAGGTGGCAGCAGTTGTACCCATCATTACATGTACATCAGTACAAATGTCAGTACGGTAAAAAAAAAAAAAAAAAAAGCAAATAACTTTGACCTCCTGGTTGCCTGGGAAGAGTCTTAGAGATCGCCAGGGGTCTATGGACTATTCTACGAGTTCTGCTACTCTTGACACCCCTGTTTCTTCCAGGGCTTAGGTCTAAAGTCCTCACAGAGGCAGTTCCTGTAGATGTAGGGAAGATCTTGTCACCAACTTTACAGCTTTACTTCTTGCCAGAATTGTTCAGTACCCTGTGCAAAGAAGGTTCACTATGTACTAGGTACCACTTCAGTTCACTGCATCTTGGGCTGTACTTTTACTCCTTGCCTGAGTCTGGTGAGATAGAATGTTCACATACATAACAAGCTACAACATGTGGATTTGTTACTTACAGATAGGCAGCAAGGGACAACAGAAGCCTAGGATTCATGATGAGCCTATCTCCAAGGCTCAGTAATGCTGCACAGGGTGGATGAAGTCTCGTCTGTGCATGCCCCACTTGTACTGCTACCAAGGGACCCCAGAAAACAGTCTGCCTTAGGATTTATAACCTGGGGAACAGGACACACTAGGCTCAAATGTTGAAGGGCATCTTGTTTGTAGGAGGGACAGGAACAGAGCCCAGGCTGTCTGACCAGTCTTTCCATATCTCAGGATGTTGCATTCCCATCACATTCTACAGTTATTCTTGAACAGTACAGGAGAGAAAGCAGGGAGAACTGAATTGGTTCAAGGCCATCCAGAAAATTGTCCTGCACCCTGAAGAAAATGACCAGGTATTTTAAAAAAACCTTACCTATAGATGACTAAAACTCAGCCAGCAGGAACACAGCGGCATTCCATCCTTCCATCCTCTCTCCCCAGTTCTCTCCTCCTACTCCCAACTTGCAAGGACAGACATCATACACACACACACACACACACACACACACACACACACACACACACTAATAGGTAAATAATTTGTGCAATGCTGAACTGCAACAAGACTTTATCCTAGCACAAGGTCACTTTCAAAGTACCCTCAGTTCTCACATGCAAAAATAATTAAAAATCAATTTATTTCTTTAATGTCAGCACTTCATAATATGACAAAGTGAAGTCTACATATTTATCATTTAAAGAAACTTTTGGAATCCGAGTCTCCCTCTGGTGTTTCTGACAGTCTTTTACATTAATAACGTGTCCCCCAATATTTTTTCTCTCCTCAAATGCACCAATATTGAAAGTAAATAACTAATATGGCAGAAAGCAGATATTCTCCCCTAACTCCTGCCCAGGTGAGCTTTTTGCCACTTTTATTCCCTCTCCTTTCCATATCTATTAGTATCTGTGTTAGTAGTGCTGACAACTTTTCATTGCAAATAAAACTAGCATATCTAATCAATACAAAAAAGTTTAAAGAGACCATACAATTTGATAGTGACCTGAGTTCACCAGGCCAGACACAACGTTTTTACTATTATTATTATTATTTATTTATTTACTTATTTTTTGAGATGGAATCTCGCTCTGTTGACCAGGCTGGAGTGCAGGTGCATGATCTCGGTTCACTGCAACCTCCGCCTCCTGGGTTCAAGCAGTTCCCCTGCCTCAGCCTCCCAAGTAGCTGGGACGTCAGGCATGCGCCACCACACCCAGCTAATTTTTGTATTTTTGGTAGAGACAGGGGTTTCACCATGTTGGCCAGAATGGTCTCAAACTCCTAACCTCAGGTGATCTGCCCACCTCAGCCTCCCGAAGTGCTGGGATTACAGGCATGAGCCACAATGCCTGGCCGACACAATGTTTTTAATAATCAGAGTGGATAAAGAAGTCGTGAATGCACATATGCATCTATTTTTGTCTATCTCAAATATATAGAAATACTTGGAGGAAGGAATGAGAGAATCGAGCTTTTTCCTATATTCAGAATTATATAGTGAGCATCTGTTATGTACTGAATCAGTGCCATTATATTACTGATACGGTTGAATGTGCAAAGAAAGGTTTTATCTGTGTATTTGTTAACGGGTGGTATTAATATATGATCACTGAAATCAGTATTTCCCATTGATAGGGTCTGATTTGCCAAGTACAGCTAGTAATTCTTCATCTTGTCATTGTTTTCTGCAAATGCCCCACCCCCTACCTTTCTACCTCCATCTTCTAGGTTTGCTAGATTTCCCAAAAGCTTATTCTTCTTGAAAGGGGAAGTTCTGTTCCACTCACCTCAATCCTTAGCCTCTTCTCCACAGGGGAGTATGGTGACGTCAGACCCTGTGCTGTTAATTGGGTATTACTGGTTTTCAGAGGTCACTCCCTGCCGCAGTGATGAAAACTCTTACCTTAGATTTAACTTCGCAAGACTATTGAGCAAACAGGGAATATATAAAATGTATCTTTAAAAACAAAACACTAAACACCTAGTTTTGTGAACAGTGGAGTCCTTGGTTTCAGGTGCTGACTTTTATCTTTTTCTGTCCCGTACTTGGTTCTGGTGCGTAATGTTGAAACAATGAAACAGGCATGGGCTTGAGAAGCTAATAGTCTTGGGTTTGAATCATTTTTTTATCACTTGCTACATGTGATATTGAGCAAACAATTAAATCTCAAATCTTCAGTTTCTGGAATATGTAAAATGAGAATTTTGTATGTGCCTCATAGAGTTGTGATAATTAAATGAAATAATAGACAATGAATATAATATATCTAGGATAGGGATACTCTCAATTAGTATTCTTGAAGAAATGGCTGAAAAGTCACATGAATGGATTTTCTTCTATGTCTGGGTAGCTGTGGTAGCAGTATATTTTCCGACTGTAGCCATGCAAACAGGAAGGATGTGTCCAAATATTCACAGGCTATTTGAGCTAGAAAACATCGAAAAAGTAATTTAGTACCCCTTCTCTTATTTTACAAAGGAAGGAAGGTACAATTAGAAAGGATACAAGGTTTACCCAAAGTCACTAGCTACTTCATATGTAAACATGTCAACACATCAACAATTCTATTACTTACATTAATTGAAAATACTGTATTGGCTCTCTGTTGTTGCTGTGACTAATTATTACAAATTTAGTGGCTTAAAATGAAACAAATGCATTATCTTATAATTCTGTCAGTTAGAAGTCTAACACAGGTCTCACGGGACCAAGATAAAAGTGTCTGACTGGGTTGCGTTTCTTTCTAGCGCCTCTGGGGAAAATCTGGATCCTTGCTTTGTCAGCCTTCTAAAAGACCCCATACATTTCTTGGCTAGTGGCATCATTCTTTTTTTTTTTTTTTTAACTCTTTTTATTATTATTATTATACTTTCAGTTCTAGGGTACATGTGCACAACGTGCAGGTTTGTTACATATGTATACATGTGCCATGTTGGTGGCATCATTCTTGCATTGTCAAAGTCAGGAAGGTCACATCTCACTGACTATTGTGCAGTCAGATCTTCTTCTGAATACAAGAGAAAAACTTCTTTTAAGGATTCATGTGATTAGATTGGTTTTACTTGGATAATCCAGAAAAAAAAAATCTCCCTACCTCAAGGTGCTTAATTTAGTCACATCTGCAAAATCTCTCTTGACAGGTAAAGCACATATTTACAAGTCTGGGAATTAGGGAATGGATACTATCCCACCTACCACACCTAGAATCATATCTATGCATAGTATCACTGCAAACTGCAGCCATCATTTTGCATCTATAAGGTATTCATTGATAATTAGTATGCTTTAGGAAGATGTATGAGCTTGCTTGGGCTGCATTACCAAAATGCCACAGACTGGGTGACTTAAGCAACAGAAATTTATTTTCTCGTGGTGCTGGAGGCTAGAAGTCCAAGATCAAAGTTTCAGCAGATTTGTTATTTTCCGAGACTTCTCTCCTTGGTTTGTGATGGGTGCCTTCTCTCTGTGTCCTGACACGGTCTTTCCTCTGTGCACTCACATCCCTGCTCTCTCTATATGGGTCCAAATTACCTCTTCTTATAAAGACACCAGTCAGATTGGATGAGGAACCTAACAGCCTTATTTCAACATAATCATTTTTGTTTAAAGGTCTTGTCTCCAAATCCTGTTATGTTATGAGTTATTGGGGGTTAGGGCTTCAACATATGGATTTTGATGGAAAATAATTTAGCCTATAACAGTGGGCTTGAAATGATTATTTTTGTTTTTGATTAGAAATGGAACAAAATACTCTATTTTCATAAAATATTAATATTATTATTAATGTAGGAGTTATACATATTTCCAACAGTTTTATTTATGTGTGAAAGATCTATTTAGTGTGAAATAGTGAGAGGGCGTCTTTGGTTGTCAGGTTTCCTTTGAAGTTTTGTTTGGTTTTTAGTTTTCAGCCAAATTTCAAGTTTTGTTTGTGGAATGGAGAAGGGAGAAACGTACACATGCACACACACACAAACACACCACACACTTTTCAGTGGTGCAGGCTATATTATTAGCATTTAATTAGAATGACCCGATGGCATACTAGGCACCATTTCCAAATCTGCATAATAGGTGTTTTTCAGTATCCATGAGAGGTTGGTTCCAGGAGTCTCCAAGGATTCCAAAATCCACAAATGCTCAAGTTACTTATAAACACTGGCATAGGATTTGCATATAACCTATGTACATCCTCCTGTATATTTTAAATAATCTAGATGACAAATTGAGCATCCCTAATTGAAAATCTGAAATCTGTAATCTCTCAAAATTTAAAACTTTTTGATTACCAAGATGATTCCACCAGTAGAAAATCTGACACCTGACCTCATGTGACTGGTGCACAAAATTATTAAAACTATTTTATAAAATACCTTCCGGCTGTATGTATAATGTGTATATGAAACATAAATGAATTTTGTGTTTAGACTTAAGTCTCATCCCCAAGATATCTCATTATGTCTATGCAAATTGTTGAAGTTTTCTAAAAATCCAAAATCTGAAACACTTCTATTCCCAAACATTTAGCATAAGGGATATTCAACTTGTACTTATCATACCCAATAGTATATAAATGCTATGTAAGTAGTTATTACACTGTATTTTTAAAAAATTGAATATTAGTTTTTATTGCTGTGTTTTAAAAATTGTTTTCTTTTTAAAAATATTTTCTGTTTGTGATTGTTTGAATACATGAATGCAGGACCCACGGATATGGAAGTCAAGCTATATGGGGTAATGATATTTGAGAGAGTAGTTGTATAAAAAAGCTTTCATGTATATATTATCTGTAGGATAATCTGAGAAGATTTTTGACTGTGGTGCTGATGGCCTTATTAATAACATTTGAATAAAAGGAAATTAATATTAAAAAATGTAGGTGACCTGCCCAAGATCATATCTGGTCACTGTAATTCAACCCAGGTCTTTTGATTTTCACTTATCCAAAAGGAAGGATGTTTGAGAATTTCTTTAGTTAGTCATGCTGCCATTCTCTCTTTCATCCACCCATACATTCCTCAGTAAAATCATTTGTCTATCCATTCTCTTCATCCCAATTATCTTATCTATCTGATTAGCCCTTCACCTAGCCATCCATCAACCCATTCATCCATTCATTGAGTAATCATGACAGAAACTCGAAAATGTGATGATTTCTTTGAAGCAGGGATTTTTGTCACAAGCTTCTGCATTCTTCCAAAGCTTTAAATGAGACAGTTTATTGCTCAAGAAGTAGGAGTAAGCAACACAGCTAAGTTAAAATCAAGCATTTTGACACAGAAAAAAACATGATGTGCCATTGTCACCCTCCTATTTTATGGCCCAAATGAAACTCCAGTTTTATGTAGTCTTTTTTTTTAAAAACCTCAATTGTAATGTTCTTCCAAGTTCATAGCATTTTGATTGCCCCATACTCCTTTTATAAATACGGAATTTCATAGTAGATGACTGTTATTTGGTTATCTACTGTGTTCCTTCCCGCTGTGCTATTGTCACTTATTTGAGTAACAAGATGCATCCTGTTTTGCAAGTGATTGTGATTACTGTATGAGAAATCTATCTCATATTTTCAGCTCCTATTAGTACTCTTGTTAATCAAGCTCTTTGAAACATAAAGAGCACTGATATAACATTCTGTCAGGATTTCACACTTTTTGACAGTACAATCTAATGTTCCTCTGTGGCTCGCCCTTTGGAAAATTTTCTGAATATCTGTTTTATCTGTGTTAAATATCCATATCTCTGTAAGATCCACTTCTTTTGTTTGGCTGATAAACCTGGGTGTATTTTTCAGTCTTATTCTTATTTCATCATTTATTACTTCACTGGGTGTTTATTTGTTGAAAACTTCTGCTTTCTTTATAGAATGGATGGATATCGGTATCCATATCTATACACATATCTATATCTCTATTCATCTACCTATCAAGAGTGAAAAAGAGAGAGAGGTGGTGGGGGGGGGTTTAGGGAATTCATAAAGAGATATTGTGTTGATGAAAATCAAATATGTACCAAAACTCTTTATAGAAGAATCTCTTGGAATTAAAGTTTAACTTCCAACGCCTATGCCTGCTTTAGTGCAAAATAAGGAGTAACACCCTGGGAAAGAATAACTTGTTAGTTTTTTTCCCAGATCTATCTTTCGCGATAGACACTGTGGTTCTTGAAGCCTACCCACTCACCAGTGCATCTATTAGTTTATTCATCCATTTGTTTAAAACATTTAATGTGCATTGAAACATAAATGGAAGGATGGCTGAGAATCTCATTTAGTTAGTAATCGCTTTATTACTATGCCCTTCATCCATGCATTCTCCAATAAAATCACTCATCCACCCATATTCTTCCCCTTAGTTCTCTTATCAATCAGTTATTGATCCATCTATCTATCCATCCATTCATCCATCCATCCATCCATCCGTCCATCCTTCCACTCTTGGAGTTATTCACCTAAATCTCTTTTCAGTAATTGACCCACTATTACTATTCACTCACACTCTTGCCCACTCAAGTATTTATTCACTGACCCAGTGCACATCGACCACCCTCTTCCCATGTCTAGGCTTATAATTATTAAGTAAACAAGAAATAAAACCTTCCAGATATATTTTATATCATTGCTTATTGAATGGGTGAATAAGTACCAAACATGTATTTATTAAGTAACTTGCCCAATGTAAGACGTTAAGCTCAGATTGTATCCAGATAATTTAATTCAAGAAGTTACATTCTTATTTTTACTACAAATCAATGTTGTATATTGAATTCTAACCCCGAATACGTTGATAGGCATACTTTTCTTGGAAAGTAATTCCAGATTGGGCAGACTCATCATTATATTTCCTAAATTTAATCCCCATAAGAGTCCACCCTATATGCCTTTTTATTTGAATATCATAGTTTCTGGGACATATCGTGCCTTTAACAGCATTATCTATTATCTAATGTTAATAATGACAAGAACTCTAAAGGACAAGTACTGTTATTAAACTATCTTGCAAATAAGGAAACTAGTCTTGGAGAGGTTAAGTAAATTTCTCAGTATATTTGTTCCAATCTACCTCTATTTCTTATCAGACTCTTATTCTAGATCCCACAGTCTGAACACTTTTAAATCTTTGCTTGTCTTAGAGAAACATATTGATTTCCAAGCCCATAAGATTTAATATTTTAATCAGACTATTATCAGCATACATAAGAAAATATGTATCCAAAGAAGTGATTTCTGTTGCCTTTTTTTTTTTTTTGTGGCTGCTTGGTTAAATATTGGAGTTTCCAACACAGAATGCAAAGAAAAAGAGAAATTCTAAGAATATAGAATTTGAGCATTCTTGATGTATTTTTAAGACCTTTTAAAAAAATTAAATGGGCATATTTAAGTGATTTTATTTTCTGGCATAATTACAGAATTAATCCATCTAATTCTCCTTTCTCTGAATTCTATCAAAAAGGTTTCATTTGTGTGTGGGTTCTTATATAAAAATAATTTGCTCATCATAATAAGTATTTAAGAATCTTAGAAATTATATTTTTTATAAAAAAATGAGATTTGTGAACTTTATTGGAGTCTAGCTACAAGCAACGGATTTGCTATAGGGCTGACACATGTTGTTTCCAAACCCGTAAAACTGCGGTCCAGACCGAAGATAGTAGAAAATTTGCCAAGGCCATGAACACTGGCTTGGGAATTCTCCTGGGAAAAAGCTTGCCAGCCTCTCCTTGTCAAATATTCTCTCTTTGCACTTCTATTAGCTGAGTTTTTGGGTATACTGCCTTTCTATTTCTAGGTTTATTCTATTTCAAAATTTTACAGGACAGATTGGTTTACAGAAGGTGCCTAGACCATGTGGTTTCATACACATGGCTTCTAAATGTATATGTTACATTTCTATTGCCATTTAGGAGCAAAGTAGAGAGGCTTCTCTATTCTGTCTACTCCTCCTCTAGAGAATCAGGAGGTCTTCAGACTTACTATTCATGCTTTCCTGAGGGTCTTTATAAAATTATGCCAAAGTACATAAGTTCTGGAATCTGACTCAATGGATTACATCCAGTTATGTCACCTAAGCCATTCATCTGTGTAGAATCACCGACAAGGTGTAGGGTATTGAGATATGTCTTATGGAGACAAAAAGTTAGTCTTTAATGAACACCTAATATGTGCCAAGTACCATGCTGGTTGTTTGGTATAGTGATGAATAATGCACATAGAGGGCTTGCACTTGTGGAACTTACCATTTAAAAGAGTAGCACAAGCAGTGCATTCCATTCTTTGACTTTTTTCCAGGTGTCCACAGCCAAAAACAGCAGTTCATTTGGGCATGTTTTCAATTTTCTATTTCTCTGGGCACCGGTCCCCATGGCCAGGTCAAGCTGTTCAACGCTCACACCAGCAGCTGACACAGAATGGAAGGAAAGCATGTCTGAGATACCAAATGCTACACATTTGCCTGCCATAAAATGTTAAATATTTTTCTTTCTTTTTTTTTTCGTAGAGCAGAGGTTATTTCCAGTGTTGGATACTATGTTCTTTTCATTTGATCAAGGATTATTTCTCCTTTAGCCTTTCACTTTGTAAGACAAATTTAAGGGTACTTTGGTATAATATGAGAATTACCTTGAGAAGTGTTTTTATTTCACAGAAATATTTTTTCCTTAGACTATGTGATCATGAGGGTCATTGCATATTCCAAACTTAATTTTAACTAAAATTTTGGGGTATTCGTATGCTTATTGCCTAGCTTTAATTTTATGATGTAATTTGTTTCTGCAACTTATTAAGAATGGAAGGACCGAATGAAAGATAACTATATTTGCCTTATTTAGATTGACTGTAGCAGTAAGACATTTCAGCATATAAAGGCATTTTCCCAATTATGTGGTGCAGCCTGAAGCCTCCCTCCTCCCACTCCATCTACCACCATCACATGATGCTTTATTCAGCTCCAAAGCATCAATCACAAGTGGGTGTTCAGTTCTCCCTGAAAACAATGTTTCTTGAATGGTCCATTTCACATTTGGTAACATTCATTGTGAGATATTCTGTAGTATGAAAGAAGGCTGAATGGAAGTTAACATGAGTCAATTTCAAGGCTTACTCCTGATCTTTTTGGTAGCAGTTCAGAAACATGCAGAGAAGTCTTCAGCTCCTCCTTTTCTTTCTCCTTCCTGCCCTTTCGCTGTCCTAGTAGCCTAAACACTTGTCTGCTCTAGATTGAAGTCCTATATGCTTATCATTTGGGAGACTTGGGCCCAAAACTAATATCATGTCAAAGTCCCTGGTCCCATCTTTGATATTGAATGGCTCTGAGTTAAGGATAGTAATTAATTCACTGACAGCTTGATAGCCAGCTGCCCAGTTTCTCTCTTTCTGCCTGACAGGCATGATTTGGAGAAAATAATGCTAAGATGTAATTTGATTCAGGAGTGCTAAGCTTGCTCTCCTCTCTAAGGGTGAACAGATTAATGAAAAATTGGGATCAATATATGACAGAGATTCATGTTGCAGTGATCAGTTAACTCTTTTTTTTTTTTTTTTTTTTTGAGACTGAGTCTCACTCTGTCGCGCAGGCTGGAGTGCAGTGGCGCAATATTGGCTCACTGCAAGCTCCACCTCCAGGGTTCACACCATTCTCCTGCCTCAGCCTCCTGAATAGCTGGGACTACAGGCACCAGCCACCATGACCAGCTAATTTTTTGTATTTTAGTAGAGACAGGGTTTCACCGTGTTAGCCAGGATGGTCTCGATCTCCTGACCTCGTGATCCGCCCACCTGGGCCTCCCAAAGTGCTGGGATTACAGGCGTGAGCCACCGTGTCTGGCCCCTGTTAACTCTTTGGGTTCTAAAAGGTGTAGGTTTTCTCCCCAGTAAGTTATATATTTCTTTACTTAACTTTTTTTTTTTTTTGCAACAGGGTCTCACTCTGTCAGCTAGGTTGGAGTGCAGTGGTGCAATCATGGCTTACTGCAGCCTTGACACCCAGGCTCACGTGATCTTCCCACCTTGGCCTCCTGGGTAGCTGGGACTGCAGGCGTGCACCACCATGCCCAGCTAATTTTTTCTATTTTTTTTAGATACAGGGTCTCACTTTGTTGCTCAGGCTGGCCTCGAATTCCTGGGCTCAAGCAATCTGCCCACCTCAGCCTCTCTAAGTGTTGGGATTACAAGCATGAACCACCATGTCTGGCCCTTAGGTACTTGGAGAAACTTTCCCATGATGTCCTTCTTGATAGAGTGAAACTTCAAAAGAAGTTTTGATGTCAGAGCTACCTGATTTTCAAATGTGGAAGCAATTTCCTGTGTAATTTACTCAATCCCAATCCTCATCTTATTCTAGAGGAAGAGGTAGGCAGAGTGGCCCAGTCTGATCTTCTCTGGTAACTGAGTAGATTTGGTATTAAGATAGCTACTCACAAAGGAGTATTTTTCTACTCTTGGTGCTGTTGTCCTAGGATTACTTTAGGCTCCTGAAGAATCCTGTGTAAGAGGATGAAAAAGTAATTTGCATTATTTTTTCACAATCAGTGTGTGCAACCTTGAGAAGGATATGAATGATACTGAAGACCAGGGTTCTTACTCTGATTTTGAAAGCAGTGATGACTGTGTACAAGATAATTGGCATCTATCATCCATTATTCATCCATTACCCATCTATCACCTACCCATCTTTTCTTCCATCAGCTCCTTTAAAACGTCTTAATTCCTATGTTGGATGCTAAATTTGAATACATATGTGAGGAAATGCGAGGGCTTTGCATTTATAGCAGATAAGATTTTAGGGCCCTGGGAATAATTTTTCTAAATTCCTTTGTCTTCTTTTTACAATCATTGTTTTGAAAATAAATGGAAAAATCTCCTTTCTTTCCATTCCTTTATTTTCACTTTACTCCACAAATATTTACTGGGCTTCCAACAATATGCCAGATACCTTACTAGGCAGAGGAAATACAAAGGAGAATGAAATGCAGGTGATTCTTCCCATGAAACTTTTATAGTAAAATCTTGTCTTTTAATTGGATGGTGTTAGGCAAATATATGGAAGATGATGAGGGTATAATGGTGCTGATACACACAATTCAGCTCCATTATGTAGCAGTCCTGTTAGAATTCCTGAAATTGAAGGCTTACTGTATATGACTGGGATTATTCATTGCACACTTGATACTCTCTGCTTCTCCAACCAGGCTGCAGTGGGTGGCCAGAGGGTTTGAGGATTCATCTGGTTGTAAACGTGCCAGATCCTGGATGCTAGGCTGGCCTCGAGAATCAGAATTAAGGAAGCTTTGAGAATGGTGTCTATGTTTTTTTCCTGACCTCCCCTTTCTCTTTGCTTCCATATTGTTTGCTTGTAAGCACACACCAATCACTGCAATATACTACAACAAAACTATTATGAAGTCAAACTCCTTTTTGAAACCATTTATTTATGGTTTCTTGTCACATTTATAGTTAAATCCATACCCTGTATCTTGGTTTCACAACTCTGTGTAATGTGGCCCCTGTCTTGCTCTCTTATTCTTATTTCTTATTACCTTTCTTTTCCTCAATTCCTTGCTCTATCTATTAGTTTCTCTCCCATACTATGCTCTCTCTCATCTCTGCATTTTTACCCACAATATTCCCTGTGCTTGGCACACATTTTCTCCAATGTTGAGATCTGAAGCTTTTTTTTTTCTTTTTTCTTTTTTTTCAAGACGGAGTCTTGCTCTGTCGCCCAGGCTGGAGTGGAATGGTACGATCTTGGCTCACTGCAACCTCCACCTCCGGGGTTCAACGATTCTCCTGCCCCTGAAGTTTTAATCATTACTTCTTTGGGGTGGACTTTCTGTCCCTCTATACCCCATTTTCTGAGTTAAGTAAAATTTCTGTATGCTCTCACAGTCCCCAGTTCCTCTCTTAGCATGGCTCTTACAGCATACATTTGAATCCAGAAATGAACTCCAAAATTTGTGCCATTAAGTTTGCTACTTGCAGATTATAAACTCTCTGGGAAAGTTCCGTGAAAATCTCTCAATCTCAGTAATCTCATTGGTAAAATGAAGAAATCATCTTTAGTTTGCTGTGAATATAACATTATAAATATGAAATGTTTACCAGGTAATAAATAGTCAATACATTAATAATAACCATAATTAAATATATTAATTACATATATTAACAATATATTACTATGTAGTTTACTAAAATATTAATATATTAATGGCTCTATTTCCCCTAAATTTTCTGTTTATTTGTTTCTGTCTCCCACAAAATTATGGTATTCTGAGAGCAGAGACTTTGTCTGTGTCTCCCTAAGACAGAGAAGAGCATGGGGTTTATCGAATGAATGGATGAGATCTTATTGTACTACAGCCAGCTGAATGAGTCCTACCTGCCCAGGCGGGATTGCATGTGATTCTGATCCCACTCTGATGAGCAGAAGCAGCCCTTGGAAGAGATGGCACTCGTTTCTCTAGATCACCCTTCCCCAGCCTTTTTGGCACCAAGGACCAGTTTTGTGGAAGACAATTTTTCTACAGACTGGAAAAGGTGGGAATTTGGTTTCCAGATGAAACGAATCCACCTCCGATCATCAGGCATTAGATTCTCATAAGGAGCATGCAACCTAGATCCCATGCATGTGCAGTTCACAATAGGGTTCCTGCTCCTATGAGAATCTAATGCCACTGCTGATCTGACAAAGGGTTCTGGGTGGATATGTTGACAGGGCAGTGTTGTTGCCTTTATGTGAACAAGGTATAACACCCTTACGTGAAGAGCAGCAGAAAAAACAGCAGCTTGTAACCATGTATCCGCTCTGTGTTTTATATGTTTCACATGAAATATTCTTAGCTCATTTTGTTTCTAAAAAGGAAATGATTACATGAGAAGTGATTCACATAGCCCTTATCACACAGATAGTGACCCATAAAAGGTAGCTAATCATAATCACTTTCAAGAAATGTATCAATAAGTTGAAAATAACACTTATATTTTTGTATTTTTCTCCTTGACCTTTCTTTTAAAATCATTTTAAAAGCATTTTGGTTTATACCAAACAGTCCAGAGTATTTTTTAAGCAGTAATGTTCGCTCATCTGCTGCTCACCTCCTGCCCTGAGGCCTGGACCAGAATTAGTTCATGGCCTAGAAATTGGGGATCCCTGCTCTACATGATGCACATATGTGAACATTCAGTGCATTTGGGATATCTTTGGCGCCATAATCTCAGAGAGGAGGTTCTTAGGGGGCGTACGTTGACCAGGCAGTGTTGTTGCATTTAAGTGAATATGATATGACACACTTATGTGAAGACTGACAGAAAAAGCCACAGCTTGTAACCATGTATTCTGTACTTGGAGGGCCAGACCTGCAGCCTCAGGTGACGTTGCTCTCTGTAAATTGCTGGTTTTGCACACCTACAGTCTTTTCTTATATTATCAAGTTGGTTACCTGAACAAGTCATGTGCAAGAGTATGTACATGTCTGTGTGTGTCAGTGTGTGTGATACAAATAATAGGATGAAATAAATGAACATACATATATTGTGTTCTGAGATTATCATTGGCCCCAGGATCTGGATTTTACTTGGATAAGCTAAAAGTGAAATTTCTGAAAGAAAGAGGACGTATATACCTCATTTTTTTTTTTTTAAAAAGTGCTGTATATTTAAAAGCTGTTTTTGAATGGAGTCTTGAGAATTTACTTTCACTTACATTGGAACTGGGATTATCACAATGTTTTCAGATAGTTGCATATGACTGAATGTGATATGAAGTAAAAATGGTCACTTAATAGTGCCTCTTCTCTGTTTTAATAATTTTCGGATAGCTGGATGGTTTCAGTTTCTAAAATCAGTTCTGCAGATAGATGCTTTATCCCCGTCTTCTAGGCAAAGTAACTGAAACACAAATAAATGAGTGAATTTCTTCAGTTCATGTAGTTAGAGAAACCAGAATCTTAGCTTTGTGTTTTGTTCTTTCAAAAACCTATGCTTCGCCGGGCGAGGTGGCTCACGCCTGTAATCCCAGCACTTTGGGAGGCCGAGGTGGGTGGATCACAAGGTCAGGAGATCAAGACCACAGTGAAACCCTGTCTCTACTAAAAATACAAAAAATTAGCCGGGCGCCGTGGCGGGCGCCTGTAATCCCAGCTACTCGGGCGGCTGAGGCAGGAGAATGGCGTCAACCCGGCAGGCGGAGCTTGCAATGAGCTGAGATCGCGTCACTGCACTCCAGCCTGGGCGACAGAGCGAGACTCCGTCTCAAAAAACAAAACAAAACAAACAAACAAAAACCTATGCTTCTTTTTTATCATTAGTTACTTCTCTTAGTTAATTTTAACAGAAGGGAGCATTGAAACATAAAATTGTAATATCATTTAATAATCAGAGGCTATTGATAATTAGAAGAAAATATGGCACAAATAAGTTTTAACATAAATAATAATGACACCAAATGTAATAGTTTATTTGTTAATTAACAAAGTTTTGTGGACAAAAATGATACATACTGATCCCTTCTGTGTCTCAAGAACTCCTTGTATGTGAATGGAAACTTCCATGAATTATATATTATTCAAATTTTTTTAATAAAAATGCTAATGAAAATGTTAACATGTGCATAAATTAAAATGATCCTAAATTAGGATTAATATCACATTAATGAATTATAATCCCACATTCATTAAGATAAAGTGGCATTTCAATATTTGTTCATGTTAATACATTTTATACAATAAATGAAAGGGATACATTTTGAGAATCAATAAATATTTGATGTAATCTTATGCTTTAACTTTAAAAAATATTCAAAAGTAAAGTAGGAGATCTAGATGCATTTGGAATCTTTGTTGCTATTTTATGTCTTTTTTATAAGCCTTTCTTTTCACTTATTGAAGGGCTTAATACAATTTAAATTGTTGAAGAACGTGAAAGAGGCTGTTCTGAATAAAAGGGATCCCAAGAGAACACAGCATCTTTTGAATTTCTAGGAGTTTCTTTCCACAAGGCGGTTTTTTTTTTTTTTTTTTGGAACAAATATTTGAAATCTCAACTGGAACTATATTGGCAGTTAAGTAACTGAGTTAAACTGAAAATATGTACATTGAAGTAGTACATCGCAATGGGCTTTTCTTTTAAAAATTCAAACCCCCAAATACATATATTATTGTTTTATTTTATTTTAGTTTTTTAAAACAGGAGAGACACCGTGTATAATATTAGAATACTCCTGTCTCCAGCCTGAGAGAAAATTGTCAGAACCTTAAAACCAGGGATTCTGTTTTCCCTGGTACCTACCAAAATGTTTTAGGCAGACTATTTGCCTGACACACAAATTCAGTAAATATTCATTGCTATGACCAAAAATGGATTTGGGTTCATGGTGAAAAGTTGTCATTTTCTGAAGGGGTTCCATTTCTGGAAAATGTACTCCTAAATTCTGGCCTCAGTGTTCTTCTCTATAAAATGGGAATGATTTTCCTGGACTAGACGAATTGTCAGAACTAAAGGAAAAAAGACTTTCAAAAACATAATATCTTAATATCAGTCAATATATTAGAATTACTTTTGTTTGTATAAACATCACAGGCAGATCTGAGTTGAATTCTGGATCTACCATACTTGAGTCTGTCAAATATAAACCTTGGAGAGGTAAATATGTGCCTCGTTCAGCATCAGTTTTCTTATGTGTCATATGAAATATTCTTAACCCAGTTTTTTAAATAAAAAGGATATGATTATATGAGAAGTGATTCACCTAGTCCTGGGCATACAGATAGTGACCCATAAAAGGTGACTAATCATAATAATTTAAGCAAATGTAATAAATGGAAAATAACACATATATTTTTGTATTTTTCTCCTTGACCTTTTTATCATTCTAAAAGCATGTTGTTTTATACTAAACAGGCCAGAGTACTTTTTAAGGACTGTTCTAACTTATTTAGATGAATTTCATTATATTTTATTCTTAATTGATATCCGCACAGCTGCATACACTTTGTACAGCTACTATTAGCAGAAATTGATGATGTTATGTAAAAAGAACCAACTTAATATTCAAAAAGGAGGTAGTTAAAAAAATAACTTTTCAGATTGCTCCATCACTAACTAATGCCATTTTTCATTTCAGCTACACACAGACCTGGATCCTGGGAGCAAAAAAATCAAGTATATCCTATCAGGTGATGGAGCTGGGACCATATTTCAAATAAATGATGTAACTGGAGATATCCATGCTATAAAAAGACTTGACCGGGAGGAAAAGGCTGAGTATACCCTAACAGCTCAAGCAGTGGACTGGGAGACAAGCAAACCTCTGGAGCCTCCTTCTGAATTTATTATTAAAGTTCAAGACATCAATGACAATGCACCAGAGTTTCTTAATGGACCCTATCATGCTACTGTGCCAGAAATGTCCATTTTGGGTATGTATGCTTCCAATTTCACAGATCTATTAAAAGTCATCTTTAGAATAGCTCCTGGCATCAAGGATGGTGTATTGCTGAATGAAAGACATTTATTACCACCTTATCTCTAATTTGCATTTCCAAATCCCCCTTTTTGGCCTAAGTTCCACAGCTCAGTAGCTTTAGTCCCTTAGTAACAGGAACTGATGGAAGAGCAATTTTATTAAAATATCTTTCCTTACATGACAATACTTCAATAAGCTGAATTTGTATTCCTCTCATAGACTTGTAGTTTGAGTATTGTTACTGAGGCAGATTTATCAAGATTTGTTCTAACATGCCAAGCTAATCCTGTTGATATTTGCTTGATGTTTAATTATTTGTTTGTGTATATTCACATGCAGATGCAGCACACAGAGAAACAGAAAGTCATCTAGGTCTGTAGTCAGCCAGATATTAGGTTGCTCTAGTGGTTCATGTCTAGGGTGGATTAGGCAATCGACATTACCAAGGGCCTCTGTATTTGTGTCCATCTTAACAACATTTTTTAGGAGTGACTGCTAGTACCATTGACCCACTCTCAATTTTTCTGAGTCATTGAAGACTCCATCACATATTACAGAGCAGTCTGTATTTCAAACATGATTTTATTCTTGTTTCTCCCTCTTTGGAATCTGCTTATCTATCCCTAAACCCCTGCCATGATGATAAGAAACCCCTCAACCCAGACATTCTATAATAAAAGGAAGGATTTTAGAGCTCTTCCTTGTATGATAAAAGTAGTAGGCAGAATCTAAAGTTCAAAGTATAAGATTACAAAAGCCATTTTTTAAAATGTGTAGTACATATCCAAGTTTGTTTCAAGTTGCATTTAAGACAGCCTATAAGGGTGCATGCTATGTAGTAAAGTCACATAGCTTTGAAGCAGGTGAACAAGGTGAGACAAATAAACACAGGTAGAGATAAATTGGAAGCCAGAATTTGGTAAATACAGACATGTATATTCATTATTTAAAGCCCCCAAACTTAACATTAAAGGAACTGCGAGAAAAAATAAAAAAAAGAAATATGATCAAGAACCCTGTTCTCAAGTTTTATAAAATTAAGTTGCTCAAGAAAATTGCAAATAAATAAAGATATGAACACCAGAGGAAGTATACAGACATATAGTGTCTTCAATAACATCTTCACTTTAGACACAAATAAAGGCCAAGTATTGATTATGGTTTTCAAGGCTAAATTGGGTGACCATTGTCAGGTATAGTACAGAATGCCTTACCTCCCAAATGTGGTCCTGATATTTTAATTTAGCAATCCAGTGAGATACTCGTGTGTGTGTGTGTGTGTGTGTGTGTGTGTGTGTGTCTTTATAACATTCCTGATGGAAATTAGTTGGAATTTAAATTTCAAATAAAGAAAAATCTTTTGTAGAATAAATGACTTAATTTGCAAGTAAGTTATTCTCAGGCATTTCTGAGAAAGAGAATATCCTAGTTGTTCTCCTTGACTTGATCTGTTTTATGTTTGAATGACTTTCTCTTATTTTGTCGCGTACTCCTTAAGGTGATTTTGTTCCTCAGAGTTCTTTTTTCTTCCCCATAATACCTTTTCCTATCCCTCTTCCTCTTTCTCACCCTTCTCCATTAGTTCTCCTCCTTCATTTTCTCCTCCTGTTTCTTCTTCTCTTTATCCCCTTGCCGTTTCCTTTTCTCTCTCCTTCCCTCCATTGTCTTTCATGGTCACCCCTGTATCTTCAGCCACTTGTTTAATGTGGCTGGCCGTAAAATCATATGCCTTGCCCCATTGGTCTGCTTAAGCTGTTAATCCACATTGTCAGTTGCTTTATGAACATTATCATCTGGATATTTCAAAGACAGCTCAAATTTCACATTAAAAATCAAACTATGTACATGGCTGAAGCTGGAAACCATCATTCTCAGTGAACTAACACAGGAACAGAAAACAAAACACTGTATGTTCTCACTCATAAGTGGGAGTTGAACAATAAGAACACATGGACACAGGGAAGGAAACATCACACACCGGGGCCTGTCAGGGTGTGGGGAGCCAGAGGAGGGATAGCGTTAGGATAAATACCTAATGTAGATGATTGGTTGATGGGTGCAGCAAATCACCATGGCACGTGCATACCTATGTAACAAACCTGCACATTCTGCACATGTATCCCAGAACTTAAAGTATAATTTTAAAAAATGCATAGAAAAAATGACTAGACAGAATATCCCAAAATGGCATAGCAGTCACTTTTGGGTAGAAAAAAAAAATCAAACTAATTACTTTCATGAATTTTTTTTTCCTGCTTTCTGACTTCCATGACTTTATCAATGACTCTGATGCACTCTCAAATCCCACGTACAACATGGAAGCGATATTGTTGAATCTGTTTTTACTCATTAAGCCTCACCAGTAGTCTGCTCATTTAATCCCTAATTCCAGTCACTACTGACTGCTGTGTAATCTTAATGCATCATCTCATTTCTTTCTTTCGACCACTCTCCAAAATCATATCTTAATGACCCTCACTGGATTATTGATGATCTCAGTAATTTTCCAAATAGTGTGCTTGATTCTAACCATGTTATTTCTTAGCTGATATATGTGTTTATCCCAGAGGAAAAAATATCCCTTACATTTTATAGGTGTTCAGCTACTTACCCAGGGGGACTTTTCATGGTCTGCTTCATTTGATTCTTTTCTTACCTACCTACAATATGACTTTGGTAGATACACCCATTCGGCAGCAAATCACAAGTGATTTCAGGTCTTGATTTGTTATCCATATATTTCTTCTGCCAAGACTCCACTTTATCTACCTCTTGTGAAAGGAGCTCTATTTTTTTTTCCTTCTTATCAAAATTACTACTTCTTTTTTTTTTGAGACAGAGTCTTATTTTGTTTCCCAGGCTGGAGTGCAATGGCACCATCTCTGCTCACTGCAAACTCCGCCTCCCTGTTTCATGCCATTCTCCTGCCTCAGCCTCCTAAGTAGCTGGGATTACAGGCACATGTCACCATGCCCGGCTAATTTTTGTATTTTAAGTAGAGACGTGGTTTTACCACGTTGGTCAGGCTGCTTTTGAACTCCTGACCTCGTGATCTGCCCCCTTCAGCCTTCCAAAGTGCTGGGATTACAGTTGTGAACCACCGCGCCTGGCCCAAAATTGTTTCTTTATGGCTGGCTGGAATGACACTTTTCCTAGGAAAATGTCTGTGTTTTTCTCTCAGAAAGTTATCTTTCTGCCATCACCACCCCCACACACACATAAAAAACACACAAGCAAGCAAAAACACCTCCATCTTTTCACTTCGTTTGGCTTCTGACTTACAAACAGGAACTGAGAAACACTATATATATATTTCACTTTTTTTCATATTGTTTGGTCATTTCATTTAGGCCAGAGAACTCTCTAATTCATCCTTTCATCTAGATTAGAGTAAGATGGTTTTGATGAATGATTGCTGCCCACAAAACATACAGCACACTTTATCTTAATTGTTAATAAACATTGAACAGAGAAGCTGTTATTTTTGCCTCATTATGATTTCTACATCTTCATGCCAAGCCTATATCTATTGATTGTGTGTCAGAGGCTCTCATTTCTGTGTATGTAAGTCATGTGTCTTATAAATATGTTAAGAAAGAAAACTGCAGAAATATCTGCAAACATCAAGTCCATTTTCAGATAAGAAAAGGACTTAAAATATATTACTAGCAGCCAACATGGTGAAATCCTGTCCCTACTAAAAATACAAAAATTAGCTGGGTGTGGTGGCATATGCCTGTAATCCCAGCTACTCGGGAGGCTGAGGCAGGGGGTTCACTTGAACCTGGGAGGTGGAGGTTGCAGTGAGCGGAGATTGTGCCACTGCACTCCAGCCTGGGAGACAGTGCGAGACTCCGTCTCAAAAAAAAAAATTATCAGCTACGTAATGAAGTGCCTTTATGCACTTGTAAATACATACATACACATGTATATATTTCTCCATCTAAAATGTTTTTGCTAATAGAGTAGACATTTCAATAATCCACACTAACATATATATGTTGTATATAGAATTCATAGTTATGTATGTTATATATATTTATATATTATATTATATATATAATAAAGATATATATGTATTATATATCTTTAGCCTGCGACATATCTTCCAAAAACCACAGAGGATGTGTTGAAGTTTCTGGTGGGAGTTTGAACCCTGGTTCTATCCCTTATTATCAGGTTGACTATGAAGTTTGGGGAGGTTAAATTTTTGCCATTTTCCTTAGCTATAAAGCAAGGATAATAACTTTTATGTTGCTTTCATTGTGTGGGACTTGCATGACAAAGTACAATGTAAAGGTATGCCAAAAAGTAAATAAGTGTTCCACAATTGGTTGTTGTTTATGGCTTTAAAATTATTTTTATTAATCTGTTTCCCACCTTACCTTTGGACCTTTCCTTATATATCGATTTTATGCATTGGATGTCTGGTGTCTGTGTGACTACAGCCTCTCTGGTTAAAGGAAGCAGAGGCGGCTGCATTATTTCATTGCGAAGTGTGAATTATTCCCTTCATTTCTCATGAAGGTGAATATCTGGAAGAAGGTCAGCTACCATCGCTTTTTTCTTCCTCTTACCACTGTTCTTCCTTAGCCTGTCTCTTCCCTCCCCTCCTTCCTTCTTTCATTTTTCTTCCTTCGCTGTGGCAGAAATGCCAGCACGTGCACCTGTATGCCCTGAGGAATGCCAGCAAAGGCTGAGGGATTTCATTGTGCAGAAAGTGAAGAATACAATTCTAATTGAGAAATTTACCAATATTAAATTGAAATGAATGTGATGTTTGAGAACTGTCTTCCAGTTGACAGGCTGTCAAGACAAAACGCACATATATATTTGCCCAAATGGCAGCCAAATTATTTTAGAAATATCTTATTTGGAAGCTGGAGACACAGTTCTTTTTTATTCTACTGTGAATTTCATGACTTGATGAGCTTGTGAGCTTGTCTGATTTTAACTGTGGATCCCAAACTAGCGTTGCTGAAGTTGGTTTTTCAATGCAAATGTCCCTACCTTTAGTAAGTTCTAGACATTTTAAATATATATTTGGATTGTTTTTGTGTATTGGGGTCAAGTGTATTTTAATCCTGATTGTTCGCTAAACCTGGGTTTGAGTAAAATGAACTTTTTTTTTTTTACTTTGACTTAGATTTGCAGGTTATTTGGCTCCAAATCTGACTTCTTGCGTAAGTGGCATAAACCATCTAAGCTTGACTTTCTCTATCTCTATAGTGTATACAATAATCCCTGCCCAAAAGTGTGTTTGGAGGAATTCAATAATTATATTTAACGTGCTACCTACTTGGCCTTTAGTTTCTTTACAACCATTCCTTTGTGACTTACTTCTACCAGTATGATTCAATAAATTGCCTGTGTAATACGAATACATGGGTTAATGAAAAATTGCTTGACAAGACCTAACTTTATATTTCAAAATGCATATGTTGGAATGAATCCTATTTTACTCAAAAGCATATTAGTGAAGGCTGAAATAAAGGGATGAGAAAGAGAGTAGTGTTTAAGTTGGTAGAAATTATTGCATTGTTGTGTGCACAGATACATAAAACATGACACTTGGGGTATTCTTAGTTTTCTCTGAGGTTCAGGGCTACTGTAATGATGACCAATACGTATTGAGAATTTACTATATGCCAGAGGCTGTGTTAAATGCTTCTAATATACACAACAATACTATTATGTTAGTACCGATATTAGTTTTTCTATTCTTTATTTTTAATCAGAAAATTAGGGAAAATGCTACATAATATAAAGTCAGATATTAAGTGGCTGAGCTGAAATATAAAACCAGACACCTGGTTCTACCTCCCATGGGCTTAACCAGTATGCTCTACTGATCTTTGATTATATCTCTAGATAATTCTGTTTATAAGAGCATTATGATTCTGCAGCATGTTTATAATAGTTAATGTTTTTCCGAGGTGGAAGAACTCTTGAGGTCAGCCTACTTTGCAAATTAAATTGAAGTACTGAGAGGAGAATTGGATAGGAAGTTTAAGGGAGGTATTATATAATTTTCAATATAGGAATATGAGCACTTTAAAAATGTCAGAACTATACATCACGTAGAAATTCAAATAACAATAAAATTAATGAAGAGCTATGTGATAATTACTGCTAAATATATTAAAGCCTAACAAGAGTAACTTGAATGGACTCTGGGTTTCTTGGTAGCAAATGCAAAAGAGGAATGCATGCTCCACCAAAAAATATTAATTGAAATATCAGAAGAAGGTCAAAAATTACTAGGTAAATATATAGTTGAAAAAGGCAAATCTCAGTCTTTTCCAAAGTGGTTTCACTGAGGAGGTTATAGAAGTCAGTATATGATGGGCAAGTCTCCTTGAACAACGACTTCTTAATTTAATGTGAAAATTATTAAATAATTTCAGTCTTTCTCCTTGTGTAAAATATGGCTATGTTTTCCTCTTTTGGAGGAATGCTCATAGAAAACACATACTATTTCTCTTGTGCTATTTTGTTATCTTTGATTTAGAATAAATTTAATCTTAGAGAAAAATTGCAAATGTTGTACAAATGTATTGTTTCTGAACTGTTTGAGAGTAAATTGTTGACATTTTGACCCATCTCCTAAGTAAGTCTTCCTGTATGAATGTTATTCTAAGCCAACAAAATACAATCATCAAAATTAGGAAATTAATCTTGACACACCATTGATATCAAATACACAGACCTCATCAAATAATCTGCAGCTGTCCCAATATCGTGGGTTTTAGTAAAAGTATCATATCTAGAACCACACTAACGTAAGACTTATTCAATCTGGAAGGGCTCTGCAGTCTTCTTCACTTATGACTTTCACACCTGACCGTGGAACAATTGTTTTATAGAATTTCTTAAGATTTGTCTGATGTTTCCTTAGGATTAGATACAGAATATGCATTTTTGACAAGACTATCACAGATAATGCCTTACTAATTTGTATCAGGTGGTACATGATTTTGATTTATTCCATAATTGGTGACAATAATTTTGATCACTTCATGAAGGAAGTGTTTGCCCTGCATCTCCATCATAGTTTTTTTTCTTTTTGCACTTAACACTTTATGAACAGATACTTAGAGACTATGTAAGTATCTTATTCCTCATGAAACTATTAACCCAAAATTTTAACATCCATTGAAGTTTCTTGGCTGAATTAATGATTACTATGAGAGCTGCCAAGTGGTGATTTTCTTAATTCCATCATTCTATCTACAGTCATTGGTTAGCATTCTTCTGCAAGGAAAATTTTCTCTTCACATTAATTTGCTTGTGTATTTATTTACATTAGCTTTGACTTTTCGATTTCTGTTTTATTTAATGAATTATAACAGGTTGAGTTATTTATCCTGATGCTCAGATTATCTGACACTTGGTCACGATGTGTCCTTGGGGCTGAGTTTTGTGTCCTACTGACATGCCTCCATCATTCTTTGAGTGCATTCTCACCTTTTGGCCCAACGCGCTGTTTGAGGCTCATTTTGTACTTTTTCTAGCCCAGCCCTAGAATTAGCCATTTACACACACACAAAAATCTGGTTCCGTTTAAAGGAGAATTGTATTTACATATGAAAGTCTGGGCATTAGTTGTGTTCATTGTTATTAGGATGTCAGTGTTCCCAAGCCTTTTCAGTGGACAGGGCAGAACTAAGGAACATTTGGGAGAATGTACACACACACACACACACACACACACACTCACACACACACACATCTACCTGTACTGGGTTGGATAGCGTTCCCCAAAACTTGATATCCATTCAGAACCTTAGCGTATGACCTTATTTAGAAACAGCGTTTTAGCAGATGTCATTAGTTAAATTGAGGTCACACTGGAGTTGACTGGGCCCTAAGTCCAATGATCGGTGTCGATCTAAAAAGGCTGTGGAAAGATACAGACTCACACAGGGAAGAAGGTTGTTTGAGGACAGAGGCAGAGATTGGAGTTTTGCTGCCACAGCCAAGAAGAACCAGGAGCCACACATAGCTGGAAGGGGCCTAGAAGGATCCTTCGGAGGGAACTGGTGTTGGATCTGACATCTTGATTTTGGACTCCAGACTTCTGAGAGAATAAACTCCTGTTGTTGTAAGCAGCATTTTTGGTAATTTGTCATGGCAGCCCAGGGAAACTAACACACTATGTATCTCTCTATTGAAAACTACAAGTTCAGCTCTATAACTGCATTCTAAAATGACAACTCAGGCTTCATTTTGGTTTTTTCCCCTTTCTTTAACAGTGAGGAATGTATCTCTTTATTTTTAATATAGTTATAAATTAGCTCACCACTTATCCTTGCAGTAGCTTATCTCCATTTGCTACCTCATCCATCGCCTTACTCCCCCCACAAGTATTTATCTACTGTCTCACTCTTCCTCTACCTCCTGTTGTTATGTGGTGTCCCAACTTGCCCAGCCACACCTTATAGCAGAAGGTGTTCAGGCAGAAGGCAGAAGTTAAGAATGGAGACAGGAATCTCCATAATACTCTGTATTTTTATTTGTCTGTATATTTCTACTGTTTCTTATATCAGAATAGATCGGTGGCAACATTTTCTGATCTGTATTCAAAACTGGTTTAGTGCAAAAAAAAGTATAAATGTATTTGATAAACACCAAATTAAAGAAAGTGAAACTGCTTTTCCTATTTCAGTCTCTAAAGTATAACTGTATATCATAATTTGATAAATTCATCTAATATACTCTTTGGGAGATTTAGACATATTGTATGCTCTTTTGGAAATTCATATTCATTTATATGACCCCAGTAACTATTTTTTCAAAAGGATCCTGCAGGCATTACAGAAATTTACTCCACAAAAGCTCTAGAGACACATATCTAATGAGAATACATTTTTGGTTTTATGAAAGGCCACATGTTAATTTAGCAAGCAGCTAAATAGTAAAATTTGCACTTTCTAAAAAGTGAATTGTAAATTATGATGACTACAGGTTACATGGATTAGCTTGTGATTCTTGTCATTGCCCAGTACATATTTTATCCTCCAAAATAAAGAATATTTCTGAACTAATAATTAAAGAGGCTCATTTTCATATTTTTTATTATTAAAGGAACAATTTGTGTCACATAGGTTTAAAAGATCAAAGGATGTACATACTGACAAACTGTCTTCAACCTAACACATTTCTTTTTTATAATTTATAGGTTGTGTCTTTCTTTCTCCCTCTCGGCTAGATTTTAAAAGAATTTGGCAGCACTTCTCTATTTTTAAAGGAGAGATGCAAAGTGGGAAACGGGAAAAGCATATCTTGATGGATTTGATTATATTTTTTCTTGTTTCATTCAGCGTGATGAACAAAATTGAAATTCTTTAGGAAAACATGGGTGGGAAATCATGAGGATTGAAATAAACACTTTCAAAAGAAATCTAGCTGTTCTACCTGATACGAATGACTAAGGCAGCTGTGGTTCCAAAACTCTACAATGGGGTGAGGAGTCTGTAGTTTCTCTTCTGCTTAAAGAAGCTAAACTTCTATTAGAGATATGTAGGCAGTTGATGCAATCAGTGAATCTTTTTCTTTTTAACTTTATAATGAAAGTGAAGCAATGGCTTCTAATATGTGAATTTTTGTGCTATTCAAAGGTCTCCCTAAATGGTCTATGGTTTAGAAATTACCAGATTATCCAAACGGGGAAATTGGTTACAGTTAATTGTTAGGGGTGCCTAAAATGCATTAGTCTTCCAAGAGGCATTGAGTTATTTCTACATTATGTCTGAGAACAAGCTTTGCAAACAATGATGACAATATGAACAAGGTTTATTTGAGTAACTTTTGTGATGGGAGAGCTCCTTCATCGGATTTTGTTTTAACATTTGCTCATTTGTACTCCCTAAATTATAATATTACATTTTATTAAGGAATTAACTTATAACAGAAAAATACAATTAACCAATTTTATTGCCCTGTATGGGCTGCCAACTGTTTTTGGGATCTTAGGTTGATAATTCCACATCCCTGATCTCTTTAATTTAAAAATATGTGGTCCAACCCTCAACCTTATATATTATATGTATAAAATATATATATAAAGCTATGCTAACAAATGTAGAATAGCATAGGAAAGTTTATTATAGTCTTATAGAAACATCGCTTTCAGTCATTTTGAAAACAGTTAAAATTATAGAACTATTCACTATAGGGCTGTCTGAGCTGTCTCAGATTCACCCTGTCTGGGGTCCCATTATCAACATAAGCTGGGTGTTTCCAGTGCACTCTTCTTTTACAATTGGTCTATGGACTTAGGAATTTCAAGTAGGAAGCAGAAAATCTTTGAATTATTTCTAGAAGATGAATTCTCAGTCACTATCCAATAAAAATTCCTCAGAATGACATAAATCACAAGAAAATGTGATGAAAAACATCACTTGATTTCACAAGGGATAATATTGGTATCATTTTTTGTTATCTATAATAGAATATTACATAAAGTATATTTGAAGGAATTACAAAAAGGCCTGAAATTTGAACCTACTGGAACAAAATTTAACAATCTCTTCCTCTTACCCCACCGCCATAGGTAAACAATGTGTCATTCCTGGCGGACTGTGATTTGTTGCCTCAATTTGATTTAGAAACCTATATCTCTTAGTCATAGGCATCTGATAATTTGAATTGGTGTTTCAGATTTATTAAGATTAAAGAATTGGCTCAGCACTAACAATGTCTAAGTGAAGAGGCAACACTGATGATGTATCTTGATCTGTGTCTTGTAAACTAGTGTCTTTAAGCCAATTTAGCTATATACCCATTAACCAATAGCTCCCAGGCCTATTCACAGTAGTAGCTAATGCTTAAGTTTTATTTCCCTTTTAATTTTTTCCTGTTATATCTCTGTGCTTGCTAATTGGAATTATCTTAAACTCGATTTGATTATCCTAACATTGTCTCTTTATGTTCTTTAGAAATACATTTTCTACTCACTCACATCTTGGCTCTTGCTATTTCTAAATACATTGGTTTTCCTCTCTAAAAACTGCACCCTACTCTTCTGTTCTCAGAGATATATTTTATGGTCAGCATTTCAACCGAGCCTTCTCTGAGCCCTTCTGAAGAAAATAAGACATCAACCACTTTCTATTCAAGTAATGTTCTGGTACTTGAAATATTGAAAAGTGTTTTCAAATCAGTCAATCTGCACTTATCATAAGAAAAATCAAAACACTTAGGAAAAACTTTGTATTACAGGTAGAGGATTGAGGAAAGCAGGTAGGAGTCTACACAGACAACCCCATGATCCTGTTTTCTTTCTTGCCTCTTTTTGCCCTCAGATGGGAATTAATATTTCAGGATTCAACATATTTGTTGATTCCAGAAGATAAAAAGGCAAATCTTCCTGTTTATTCAAGCCACATGTGTGTCTAGAGTTCTGTAAATTAGAATGAACACCCATAGTATAAATTGTTATTACATAACCATTCCAGGAAAGCATATATTAAAAGGGGCTGGGGAGTAAACCTCACAGAGTTCAGCCTTTGTCCGCATTTGCTGGTCAGAGAAATGAATTAACTGCATGTCAGGGCAGCTCCGAAACACATATTTGTGAAATTCTGAAGACTTGCCTGAAAATGAATGTGGGACACCTTTGTCAATATATTTCTGGTGTATGCCTCGCTTCCTCAGAACTTTGCCTCTCATGGGTAGTGGGGATTTCCTCGAGTCTCCTTGTATCCATGTGTTATTATTTCTTTAACTTTGACATTCATGTGTCATGGGCTTAATAATTATACTTTCTGGATTCACTGGACTTTGAAGTTTGCCATTTGATTTTTAGACCCAAATGCACTTATTCTTTGGCTAATTAGCAATCATAGATTTATGAATTTAATGGAATTTTTTCTATTCTCCCCACCAGTAATTTCACATGTATATATATATTTGTATATATGCATTTGATATGTTATTAGACCTCATGACAAAAGACAACAGATATTTACAACATGAGGCTGCAGGTGAAAATATATAGCTATGTATCACCTGGGATCACATGGAACACATAATCTCATATACATCCCCATCCTAAGGGAATCAGTTTTCATCCCTTGTGTCTGTGCTCAAAGAGTTTATAGTAATTCTAATCATATTTGTGCTACTGTTGCAGCTGATTTCATTCATTTTCCTTTTGTCAGGGAGCATGACTCAAGGAGTCTTCTCTTTATAACCATGTCAGACTTTACAGATCTCATCATTGTCTATCAATTATGAATCTTGGCAAGTAACAAGAGTGGTTTGAGTTCAGGAAATACATTGGGGATGGAGCAGTAGTGGGAGGACGTTCACAAAGTAAAGTTAACACTTTTTGAAGCAAGTCTTGAAATGTCTGTACATTATTCCTTCTGAAATCCAAAGTGATGTTATCAGCTTAAGGTTAACATAATGACTAATTAATTTAATATTACATAGGGATTAATATTTAATAAATGTGCAAAATGCTATCCTAAGCATTCTACAGACACATTCAATCTACCAACAACCTTAGGAGGTGAATTTTATTATTCTTATTTTACAAATGAGAAAAGTAAGTCATATGATCATAAAGTAGTTTACTCATGATCTTATCACAGATGAGAATAGGGGCTCCCCATCAGAAAGTCAGAACCAGTAACAGTCTTACATACATAACAAAAGAGTTATTATAGGGATTAGACCTTATACGTCATGAAGCAGAGAGAGAAATCTGTGCAAAGCTGTTGCTTCTGCTTCTGGGGATGGGAAAAAAGCTGGACATGAGGTGGGAAAGACCAGGAATACACTGGAATCCCAGAGGACCAACTAGAACCCATGGGGACAAAGTGGAGCCTATCTATATCTGTCTCTCATACTTCAAATTCCCATGCCTTGAGTAGTCTGCAGGAGAACTGGTGCCCTTTGTCACAGAGAGTCACATTTATCTGGCCTAGGACTCCGCGAACCTGAAGGTGCAAATCCTAAGAAGCCGGAGGAGCTGTGAGCCTGGATGTTGCTGCATGCCAACATGGTGAGCTTGCAGATCTGCTGAATCATGCAAGAGCCCAGTGCCTGATGTCTTGCTCTCACTTCCTGTCTGCCTTCTTCACTTCTGCTTCCAACGTCTCATGCCAGAAGTAACTAGGGCAATATAGAGAAGGGAGTTCTAGAAACAGAATTTCAGTTTAGCTTAATTGATAGAGAATGAAGCCACAGCAGATACAGTTTACTTAGTTTCTGCTCTAGGCTAGGTACATGTAAAACACTGTGTAGATTTTTAGAAGGGGGCATTATATATGTCAAGCATGATTGTTGTACATTATATATTATATAAAGATTATAATATCAGTCAAGTATTAACACATTTTTTACAGTAAAAAATGTAAATACAGTGGGTTTGTGATGGGATCAGAATTGTGTTCCCCACAAATTCATATGTTGAATCCATAACTCTTAGTATCTCAGACTGTGATTGCATTTGGAGATGGGACTTTTAAGGAGGTAATGAAGGTTAAATGGGGTCACATGGTGGGTCCTAATGCTGTCTGAATGGTGTCCTTACATGAAGAGGAAATCCGGACACACAAAGAGACATCAGGGGCACAAGTGCGCAGATGAACAAGCACATGAGAAGGCAGCAAGAGGGAAGCCATCTGCAAGCCAGAGAGAGAAGGCTCAGAAGAAGTTAAGTCTGCCAGCATCTTGACCTTGGACTTCCAGCTTTCAGAACTGTGAGAAAATAAATTTCTGCTGTTTAAGCCACCCGGTCTGTGGGAATTTTGTTATGGCAGCTGTATTAGTGTGTTTTCACACTGCTATAAAGAATAACACCTGAGACTGGGTGTTATCTTTCCTTTCTTCTGCTCAAAATTGGTCCTCCTACTCCTATCCTTTAAAATGTGTTCATGGACAATCTGTTTACTAAATTATCATTACCAATGTTACCTACTTATTCCTAATTCCTTTCTTCTGCTCAAAATTGGTCCTCCTACTCCTATCCTTTAAAATTTGTTCATGGACAATCTGTTTACTAAATTATCATTACCAATGTTACCTACTTATTCCTATTGTTTGAAAGTTTGTGTGAAAAAGGGAATGAACACAGGAATGAATATTGTGTAGTCATCAACCCTCTAACCTGTTTCAAGTCTGCAGTGAATGTCCAACATCCGCTGAGTGGCTACCTAACTCATGCTGTGTGTATTCTCTAGTTACTATGCATCACTCTATTGTCAGTGTGAAATACCAGCAGTTAGCTTATATAGGTTGCTTCTGTTCTGGGACACAGGCAGACATTCCACCAAATCTAGTTGAATTAGTCTCAACCGCAGGTATTTGCCAGGAAAACTAGGAGGATGTGGAAACAGTACCTTTCCAAGTAGCTCAACATAAACATATGTGAACTTGGGAACCATTAGGCAAGCATGATCCTTTATTAAAGTAAAAGGGTAAAGCCAGGACCCGCAGAGGTGGGTGGAAATGGAGCAGGCAACCAAGACAAGAAAAAGTGAGAGACTGTGAAACTTCTTGTTGGTTTGCTTAGTCTCTGGTTCTACAAACATACTGATCTTTAGGCACTTCCCATCTCTGGCTTCGATGATACTTCCATCTATCTATAGAAGACAACTCAATAAAATGGAGAGATGTATTATGTTTCTTAAAAACAAACATTTCCTGAGAAATATAAAGTAGTCTGCTGGATGCCTTGGGTGGCAGTGATGACAGTGACCAGGGGGATTCAAAAGAACTTTGGTCTGTAAGAGGATATAAAAGCATCTTTCTTCCTGGCTATGTAAACAGTGTGTAAAGATAACAAATATTTATATCCACACAGATTATATGCAGTTTTTTTTTATTATTATATGGGCCTTAAAAATAGACTATCACTCTTGTGTCTGCCTTGTGAAAGATCTTGGCTCCTTAGGGTAAGGCATGGTGTGAATATCAGAACTAGGTAGTAGATATCTTCAAACTATAATATGAACAAACTCGAAAGTTTTTTCTTCGTCTGCCATCGACTGCTGCACAGATAAAAGCAATGAGCTGAAACGTTAAATCCTTGGGAAAGTTAGAACCAGGGTAGAGGGTGGGATATCCCCTTCTACTGGGCTTATGAAAGGATCATGCGTCTCCTTGAACTGGGAGATAGAACCAGAGAAGGAATATTCTCAGTTCAGTAAGAAAAAAGACTCTGTGCTGACTGCAATGTCACTCTTCCATCCATTTATATTCACAGATCCTATTAATGGATGTAAGATAACCTACAGTCTTCCATGCTTTGTTCTTTTTGAAATTACTGTTAAAGAAAACTAGATGATCGAGACTGAAAACAAAGGGCAAAATCCTTTCCCGAGCATGTCTTTATTGTCCTTTTTCTCACCTTGACAGAATAATCGGAATAATGACAATCACCCTAAGATTCCTTTTTTTTTTTTTTTTGGATTGCTATTCCTGTGTAATTATTAGAGCTGCTGTTACCATTAGGTGATAATGAAATAATATCAAACAATTCCCACACGTTTATGTATATGTAACACGTTACAATGTCAAACTTAAATGAAAGGAGAAATACCAGTATCCGTCTTAAGAGCTGCTCTGACAGCAACTCACAGTTCTGATAAACACTATTTAAGTGCCTTGTGAAAGCCTTTTTTGGGGAGGCTGTCAGCGAAGCAAGTGAGACCATGTGATGTGAATCTAGCACTAAGAACATTAGTAACCTAGATTTCTCATGAACATAGATAGTAATTCTTGTGTTCAGGCTTTTCTACATTTTCTTTTTGTTCCGCGTACATATTTTTAAATTCTGCATTCAAGTTTAATAGCCATACAGTAAAATGCATATATCTATAACAGCATAAGCTGAACAGGTTTGTATACCCAGCACCCAAATAAAAATTCACAATAGCACCATCCCCACAAAACTCATTCTGTGTCCCCTTCCAGTCACATGATTAACTGATATCCTGACTTCTAACAGCATAGATATGTTTTGTCTGCTTTGTAGTCATTAATTGGCTCATACACAATGCATGATTTATTTATTTCAACACCCCAGACAGGCTTGAAATTAAGTCTACCAAAATTACAGGACATTTAAATGAATCAATGAATATATTCATTCTTATATTCGTTTATCTTGTTGATCCTCTCTACCATCCCTCCTTTTTTTTCCTTCTGGTTCTGGAAGGTGACTTTAAAAATATATGTGTTATTTTGGGTGGCCTTTCCTTACATACAGTTGGCCCTTGAACAATGCAGGGGTTAGGGTTATAACCCCTTGCAGAGTTGAATTCCATGTATAGTTTTTGACTTCCTAAAAACTTAACTACCAATAGCCTACTGTTGACCAGAAGTCTTATCAATAACATAAGCAGTTAATTGACACATGGTTTTTTATGTTGTGTGTATTCTGTACTACATTCTTACAATAAAGTAAGCTAAATAGAAGGCAATGTTGTCAAGAAAATCATAAGGGTCCAAGTGCAGTGGCTCACGCCTGTAATCCCAGCACTTTGGGATGCTGAGGCGGGCGGATCACCTGAGGTCAGGAGTTCAAGACCAGCCTGGCCAACATGGTGAAACCCTGTCTCTACTAAAAATACAAAAATTAGCCGGGTGTGGTGGCACAGAGCTGTCGTCCCAGCTACTTGGGAGGCTGAGGCAGGAGAATCACTTGAACCCAGGAGGCAGAGGTTGCAATGAGCCGAGATCACGCCACTGCTCTTCAGCCTGGGCAATAGAGCGAGACTCCCTCTCCAAAAAAAAAAAAAAAATCATAAGAAAGGTAAAATATACTTACTATTCATCACGTGGAAGTTGACCATTATAAAGTGCTTCATCCTCATTATCTTCATGTTGAGTAGGCTGAGAAGGAGGAGGAAGAGAAGGAGTTGGTCTTGCTGTCTCAGGGATGGCAGAGGCTGAACAGAATCCACACGTAAGTGGACCCTGCATATAAATCAAATCTGTGTTGCTCAAAGGTCAGTTGTACCTAGCTCAAGGCAGCTAAGTGGGAACTTTCAAGTTAAGGCTGTTTTTCAAGCGTATGACCAACATTATCTCTTAGTTAAACCAACAGAAAACCCACACCAGTGGGATATTTCAGAGGTGTCTAACCCATTTTAATCACACTTTCCTTTTTTTTCTAACAGAAATTCACTTTTTAAAACTACATTTATTTAAAAAAAAACCTTCTACTGTTTACTGTTCTGCTTCTTATCTTGTTTCATGTTTTTTCAACTCTCATTTCTATATTTTCTCTAATTGTTCTCATCAAATACATTTAATAAAATTTATTGAATACCTGCAATAACAGATAGTGAAGTCTCATAGATAAAAGCTGTCTTTGCAGATAGAAAGACTTTGTGCTTAAGAGTTCACTCTCTCGAGGTCTTGTTGTAAATCCCTGCTACTTTCCTTGGTCAGAGCATTGAATCCACCTCTTAGTTCTTTGAGATTCACCTCTAGTATTTTGGTCTGCTATCAAGTATGCCATTAACCTACATGGGATATGTCATATAAAAGAAAAACTGCTATACTTGTTTTTATTCATATGAATTTTGATTTAAAAAAGAAACTTTATCTCACTATTAGTATCACTTGCCATAAGTAGAAACAAAGGCCAGATTAAAAAATGAAATAAAATGTAAAATATATGTTAATATATAAGTATCATTAACTTTTTTATAGACAATGTTGCCTGCTTAAGTCGTATCCCCAAGCCTGCTTGTTGTTTGCTATATAAAGGGGTATTAGCATGTATCAGAAAGGTGTTAAACACATACAGTACTATAATAAAATTGATATATTATCTTCAGTCTAATCAGAAAAGTTAAAAGGGGAGTGAAATGGATAAAAATCTCACTACAAATTTAAAGCTGATTAATATTGATTGCTTGCATACCTAGAGTGCCCTGCTGGTATGTTTCTCTTGTTTTGGTGGGCAACATGCTATACAAAATGCATGTTTACGTTTTGGTATATACCAGTCAAGGATACATACTCTAAATATTCTTTCTTAACCATACCTGCCTCCAAGGAGCACAAAGCCTGGCAGGGAGGATAACTTGCAACCTTGAGGCTTACCCAGAATGTGAAGGACCATCATAACAGAAATGATGATGATCTGAATTCCCCAGGGATGTCTGGAGGTATCACCTAGGACAGTGCTTGCTTAAGATTTACATGGCAGAATATCAATTAAAGTTTCTTGTTTTCTTATGACTCAGAGCACCTGCAACTACTTCTTTTTTCCAGCTTATTTTATTTTAAGTTCAGGGGTACATGTGCAAGATGTGCAGGTTTGTTACATAGGTAAATGTGTGGCATGGGGGTTGGTTGTACAGATTATTTCATCACCCAGGTATTAAGCCTAGTATCCATGACTTCTTATTCCCAAGCCTCTCCTTCTTCCCACCCTTCACCCTCCAATAGGCCCCAGTGTGTGTTGGTCCCATCTATGTGTTCATGTGCTCTCATTATCTAGCTCCCACTTATAAGTGAGAATATGCGGTATTTGGTTTACTGTTCTTACATTTGTTTGCCAAGGATAATGGCCTCCAGTTCCATCCATGTTTCTACAAAGGACAAGATCTCATTCTTTTTTGTGGCACCTGCAGACATTTCTCAAAATTTTTGGAACTGTTGAGAAGTAGGCACAAAGTGTCTCCTGCTCGAAAGTCAAGCCATGTGAGTAGAACAGAGATGTGTCAACACAACTGCGGGGGCTCTTCTTCATAGCTAAAAGAGGGATATCTGCAAAATGGAAAACATTTCAACATCATCTCTTTATTCCTAGATCTAAGCAATTCAGTACTCATAAACAATTGGCAAGATATTCAAACGAGCAAGCAGGCAAATGCATGGAAACGTGTATGATTATTTTAAATATTGGATGGGAGCTTTTACATTATATCCATCGAGTAAAACACATTTGATCAGAAGCTATTTCAAGATATCATGATTAAAGTAGTTATTGCTGTGCTTTTGGCAATGGTTAGAAAGGCAGTTTTCTTCTACAGCCTCAGAGACAAGAGCTATATTGGGGTTTGAAGAGACATTCTGCCATATTAGACACGGCATTTGCTTTGAATAGAAAATATATTCTTGATTAATTCTAAGATTTTGCCTGAATTATTAGATAACTCGATAGTGCTTTAAGTTCTACAGAGCTTCTATTACTAAAGAAGCCAATTTAAAGGGGGAAATGCTTAGATACCTGGGATCCAAGATTAGGCTTAGGACAGCTTAGAGAATATAGAAATGTGCTCCCCAGTGTCTGATTTGATGCTTCCTTGAAGCGTTCAAAGTTAAAAGCTCCGGCTTTGAAGCCAGAAGGGGTTACAATTGTGGATCTTTGCCTAACTACTAGGTAACCACGAGAAGGAATTTACCTCTCTGAAACTGAGTTTCTTTTTCTTTAAAATGAGATTTTAAAAGAAAAATTATGTGAAAGGATAAAATGCTGTGCTTGGCATGTGATATTTCAATAAATGTCAGTTTTGCCTGGCTCTGAGGCATTCACTATGTGTCATAGTTTATCCTGATTTACCTTAGTCAGTATGCTGCTTCTGAATTCCCTGAGCATTAATAAACATCAGTGCGCATCTTCTTTTCTGATATGTTTGCTTAGGATGAATTTTCAGAATTAAGCTAGTTAGTCTGTTTAAAACAAAGGATTGATTATTCTATTACCTTTACTGTAGGCAATATCTTTATCCTTTATTTCCACAACCCCTACCCTCTCTTTCATTATTATTTTTTAATTCACTCTCCAAAATTAACATCTCATTTCTGACTTTTCCTCTGAGTTCCAGGCCGACACCTCAAACAGCTTATGTGACATGGACATATGAGATTGAGGTAACTGTACAGCAATCAGCACATTTAAAACTGAATATATCAGTTGTTTATTGCTGTGTAGCAATGTCACCACAAACTTTATGGATGTTAACAACACACACTTATTATCTCATAGTTATGTAGGTTAGGAATCCATTCAGAAGGTCTGTAGATCTTCTGCTTCAGCCTCTCATGGGCTGCAATCAAGGTTTCATCCAGGGACGAGGTCTCATCTGGGACTCGACTGGGCAAGAATCCAGTTTTAAGGTCTCCTGGCTGTTGGCAGCATTCAGATCTTGGTAGATGGTTGGACTGAGGGTCTCGGTTCCTTTGTTTACTGTGTTGAGTGGCCGATCTACACACGTTGCTTCATGGCCTTTCCATCTGGCAGCTCAGAATAAGAAAACTTCCTTCTTCACAGTCAGCAAGAGAGAGAGTCTCTGGTGTGATGGACACAATCTCATGTAACGTGATCATGTCCACACAATTACATTAAACCTGGCCTCTTGCTGAATGTTATTGATTCAAAGCATGTCACAGGTCTGGTCTTTCTTGATCCACTCACCTCTGGTTCCACAGTAGCAAGAATGGCATTTTCAAAACATGGTTTTGAACATGGCATCTCCATCAACACCTTCCTGTTGCTCTTAGAAATAAATGTGTGTGGATCTGAGTCATTTTATAATAAATACAAGCCATCTTCTACTTCTCAACTGTGAAGTCATTTCTCACCATCCTAGGGCTAAAAACTATTTTATTTCACTTGGACCTCTGTCCACTCTCCATACTGGTCTTTTTGATCATGACAAGTTCCAGCTTAATGAGCTTCAGTGTTTCTCCATTGCTTTCTGGATATAGTTCAAAATTCACAACATGGCCAATAATGCTCAGCATGAATAAATCATGCCAACATCTTCACATCTTATCACTGCCTCATAGATTTGCTTTCTGTCTTTCGAGTGTGAAGGCTTCAGAACCTCCACATATGCAACTGACGTTGCCTAGACAACTCTAACTTTTATTTACCCTTCCAGCTTCAGATTATCATTGCTTACTCCAGGTCGGTTAAAACTTCATATTATATGGCCGGGCACGGTGGCTTACACCTATAATACCAGCACTTTGGGATGCCAAGGCAGGCAGATCACAAGGTCAGGAGTTCAAGACCAGCCTGGCCAATATGGTGAAACCCTGTCTCTACTAAAAATACAAAAATTAGCAGGGCGTGGTGGTGGGCGCCTGTAGTCCCAGCTACTCAGGAGGCTGAGGCAGGATAATCGCTTGAACCCAGAAGGCAGAGGTTGCAGTGAGCCGAGATGGCACCACTGCACTCCAGCCTGGGTGACAGAGCAAGACTCTGTCTCAAAAAAAAACAAACCAAACCAGAACAAAAAAAACCCAAAAAACCTCATATTCTTCTGGATTTTCCTTCATACAATTAATTGATTGATTAATTACTGTATTGCTATTTCTACTCTCCCATAAGGTCTCTGTAGGTGAAACTTGTGCTTATATTGTTCCTTGTTGTTTTTCGGGGCCTATCACAGGACTGGCTGGATGCATGGCAGACATCTCAGCAAATATGTAGTAGATGAAAGGAGGGTAGAACTAAGAAAATGAGAAACGTTCTCTCTGAAGATTTCAATTGCAGTTAGGAAAAAGGCAAAAGAACTTCCTGCCGAAAGGTCAGGTGGGCTGAAAGAGGTTCAGCCAAGACCAGGGCACAGAGCAGTTTGTGAGGATGATGACAGGGAACAGGTGCAAATCATAGCATTCATGGAACCCAGTGTTGAAGCCAATTTCAGGGTCTTACATGACTATTTTGGTGTTGGAATGTCAACCGGATCTGCATTGCCTTCCAGAGTGGCAAGGCTGCTGATTCCTGAAATGTGACAAATAGGGAATTTATTTTACATGATATGTGTCTTCAGTCTTTCTACATGAACCAAATTGATTCAGAAATGAAGAAAGTGCTAGCTGTTTAATTGAGAAAGTGTTCATGGCCTTTCTCATTTGTTTTTCTTTAGCTATCCAAATTTCTCCTTGCTATTTAAGAGGAAGTCACTTTAAACAAGAACATTCTTTTACTTGATGATTCAATATAAGTAAATTTTTTTTAAATTGTTGTCATCAGAGGTAAGAGCATAATGGAAAGCATGAGAATAATAACTTAGCAGTCAGCCTACCTTCGAGGAAACTAATTTGTGTGGGATTTAGACAATGAAATATAAGATTCACATCTTTTATTTTTTCCTGGCATTATAAATTTAGGCAGGACATGGGGGCAAATAAGTGAATCTTACTCAGATAGAAGGGATCAAATCTTCAAGTAATAGCTTAAAATAGCCTGTTGTAAAATAGAATTTATTGCTTAACATGGTGCGTTAAATGGAAACTCACGTGGGGCAGCAGACAGCATGTGGTCTGGAGAGTGAATTGTGGATCATGGAGGCCACTCATTAAACATGCAAATTCGACTGTGTAAATTTCCTTCTCTGCACATCCTACTGATTATTTGTAAAATGATTTTTAACTGTTATTTAGAGAACTAATGTGCCTGCAGCAAATGACACCTAGCAGATATTCAATAAATGTTAGTCCATAAATAATAATATCATATGTAAAATACCCAGGCTAGTGTCTTGCATAAAGTAGGTGTTCAGTAAATCTATATTATTATTATCAACATCATTATCATCATCATTACTCCTACTACGGACCAACACTACACTGGGCAGTTTCATCTGATTTGATTTCTACAAAAAGTCTATGAGGAAGTTTTTGTTTTGTTTTGCTTTTACTAACTGTCTTGAGAGTCTTATAGCAAATATGCAGTCAGGCTGAGCTTTGACTCTATCCATTCTTACCATAACCCTTCTCATAGAACAAAATCATGGTGCTATAGCTCCAGGTGGAGCACACCATTGCATACTAAATACATGAATTATTTTTTCAAGATAACAACCACTTTTAAGGTAGGTATGACTTCATTCATTTCTCATTCACTCACATCAGACTAAAGCCTGTGAAGCTATGTTAAAATACCTTAAGGCAGGCAAAGAAATCCAAAGTACTTCTTCTATTTGGTCATAACTTACACAAGGTACCTCTTGGCCATCTTATTAAGGATGCCTTTAGCAGGGATAGAAAATGGAATTTATTACTCAATTTTCTATCCTTCTCTAACACTTAACAGCCAGACACAAAATAAGTATTCAAAGAGATGTTCAAACTCTTCTAATATTTGTCTAGATGGTCAGTTCTGTGAAGACAGGACCATTACTCATACATCTTTGGTATGGTATTTGCAGGAGTGATTTGCACACAGCAACCGCTAATACATGTTTTCCCTTATGTGCAATTTTTCAGCTATCACAAAGGTAAACTTGTGAGAGCTTCATTCAATTTCTTTTTCTTTTTAGTTTTTAATTTACTGTTTATGATTGTGGGCTACTGAAGGTTCCAAAAATATTTCTCTTGAATCCTTGAAGGAAGCAAAATTCTCTAATATTTTTCCCCCGTGCATTCATTTTCTCTTTTTCTCTTTCACATAGACACACACATATTCTCTCTCTTCATTCTCTCTTATTTCTATATGTTGCAATATATGAGTGTTTGTGTGTGAATTTGTGTGACATATACTGTCTAAGTTGGAAAGAAAATGTTGCTTTCTTTCCAAATTAAAGAGATAAATGTGTAGAGTCTGGAAGTACCACAAAAATAGCTGCCTTGACTCACAATGTCTCTACTCTGAAATATAAATTTTGTTCTGAAGGGAATTCTCTTTTCTGTCTCAAGTAGGCTTCTCTCCATATATACACACATAATGAAATATGTGGAAATTCTAAAGTCTTCATAGGAACATGAGAGATCATTAATCTTGTATTATCTTGGCAAAAATGGAGATGAGAAATTATTTACATTGTGGGCTGTGGTTCAAGGTAATTCAACTTCCAAAGGATTGAATTCCAGCAAATGCCTAGAAACCTTCTTTTTTTTTTTAAATAATTCCATATTACCCCATTTATTTTCTTATGAATTTGTCAGTTCCAAGTATAATATACAGCATTTAATAGTCTCGTTCTAAGATGATGAAACAATTTCTTTATGGTGATGTTTAAAGTAATTGTGTTTGATTTCAATGGGTTTTATGAATGTAGTGGTCTCTGTAAAAAGAAAAACAAACATCATGCTGGTAACACAGATTGAGGTTAAAGGAAATGACACCTAATGTGTTGGTACATTTAGTTCACAATTATCTTTCAGGTTTCTTAAAGTTTGCATGAGATTTTCATATGTTATATAGTAGTATTGTATATCTTTGTTCCCAATTGGTTCTCCATGATGGTACAGTGAAGTGGGTAAAGCAAGTAAGTAAATTAGACTCAGATTTAGTGACTTGCTTTAAGTCTGCCATTTCTACCTCTTATTGACTATAAGACCCACATATGCTGATCCGTATACCAAATGTGCTTTCCATTAAATCTAGGATAATGCTTAGATTCGAAATAAGGGAGAAAGGACAGACACAAATGGAAAGTTGACAGTAATTTGTTCTTGGTGGTTGTTCAATAAATATTCATTTAATGAGGAGAGCATCATTACTGTAAGAATGCATGTATAAGAGGATTCTTTTGTATAGTCAGTATCTCATAGTGCTTGTTTCTTCTTTTGCCTCCTGAACAAGACTGGGAAGAGAAATGAGCCAAACCCGTGCAAGCAGAGGCCTTCTTCCTGATAATGGATTAAAGCATGCTTAGACCTAGTTTCCAAGGATATTTGAAAACTGTCATGCAAGCAAATGTCCAGGGGTCTTGGCATTAGTCATTCAAAGCTCTGAAGTATGAGTGCCTTTTATAATGAATGGGAAGGAGGAAGTTGACTTCAAGAACCAGAAATCTTTTAATCTAATATGGAGGACTAGGAAACAGCAACTCTCAGCTGTTAAGGGATTTGTAAAATTGTCCGTCTGGAAATTTACGCTTATTTGATTCTTGTTCAGTATTTAACAGAGTACATATTTATAATGACTATGCTTATGATACATTAATTTTGGATAAAAAAGTACAATTAGCATGAAGACTATATTGCATTCTACATTTCTTAATTTACCATCCTAAAGAAAGAAAACCTGGCCGGGCACAGTGGCTCACACCTGTAATTCCAGTACTTTGGGAGGCTGAGGCGGGTGGATCACGAGGTCAGGAGATTGAGACCATCCTGGCCAACATGGTGAAACCCTGTCTCTACTAAAAATACAAAAATTAGCCAGGTGTGGTGGCGGGTGCCTGTAGTCTCCACTGCTCAGGAGGCTGAGGCAGGAGAATTGCTTGAACATGGGAGGCAGAGGTTGCAGTGAGCCGAGATGGCACCACTGCACTCCAGCCTGGGTGACAGAGCGAGACTCCATCTTGGGGGTGGAGGGGCAGGGAGAAGAAAAGAAAACCTAACTATTTTGGTCACAATAGCTTCCTATTTGGTGGCAAGATACCATAATGATGGAAAGCCTTGGATGAAAACGGGAGATTTATGAGTTATACGCTTACTGATAATTTCACAATGTAACACATATTAAAAGTTTAAAATGCATACGTGGATGTACACCTGACATAGTACTTTCTGTGAACCTTGAAGCATATATAGGAGAGGAAAACTTTTCAGTCAACTTTTCTATAAAATTAGAAACTTTGTAATTATCTTACCTCACTCAGAAGGTTGTAAAGTTATAAAAAGAAGTGAAAGCGTTATATAACACATTATATTCGTGGCTTCTTTTTAGGTTATAGATGATACCTCTGTTGATTCAATATAATAGTCCCGTTCCTGCTCATGTAATGCACTGGTTCTTCAACTTGAGTGTATGTCTGAATTACACGGAGGATCAGTTAAAGTGTAGCTTCTGGGTCTTGCCCTCAGAGTTTGTAATTCAGGTGATGTTCATATTGCTGGTCTGGAGACCATACTTGGAAAACCACTTGCTTAGTGGGTCATTGTAATGCTCTATTTCTCTACATGGAGTCCACGGTAGTATTCCAGAGGATTCTAAAAACAGTAAGAGCCATGATACAACCTTCTGAGGTGTTACCAGAACATTTGCCAAGCTATTTTATGTGAAAAAAAAAAGTAATGTTGACATATTAAGGAATTAAATGCAGAAGCTGCATGATATATTCTGGGAAAAATGCAAGACCTCACAGTTGTTCCAAATCTATAATTGTCTGCTTCTCCCTGTGAAATGTGTCATCTAAAGGACTTCCTAACTTGCTAGAGCTTTTCAAATGTTTCCACCAAAGATTTTTAAAATTAGAAGCTCTGTCATGGTAAGTTTCATGCCTATTTGCCTAATCTTGAATCCCCAGATTCTAGCACTCTGTCTTGCAAAAACAGAGCCTCAACAGTCTATGGGGTCTTAGGAAAGATTCCTTTTGTTGAACCTCTCTGTATCTATTAGGTTGGTGCAAAAGTGATTGTAGTTTTTGCCATTGAAAGTAATGGCAATGACCGCAATTACTTTTGCACCAAACTAATAGTTGCCTCACAGGTAAAAAAGCAACAATAATGGAACCACTTTTTTGGATTGAGTGAGATAATATTCTCAATTGGGGCTGTTGTATTGATACATTCAGAGATAATATTTGAAAGTATTTACTGAATACAGATGCTTGTACCTTAGGATTACATCTCAATAAACTTATAGTAAGTTGAAAATATCACTTTGGGAGGCTGAGGCAGGCAGATCACGAGGTCAGGAGATTGAGACCATCCTGACTAACATGGTGAAACCCTGTCTCTACTGAAAATACAAAAAATTAGCTGGGCGTGGTGGTGGGCACCTGTAGTCCCAGCTACTCGGGAGGCTGAGGCAGGAGAATGGCCTGAACCTGGGAGGCGGAGCTTGCAGTGAGCTGAGATCACACCACTGCACTCCAACCTGGGTGATAGAGCGAGACTCCATCTCAAAAAACAAAAAAACGAAAAAAAGAAAATATCATAAGTAGAAAATGCATTTAATATACCTAACCTACTGTACCTAACATCATAGCTCAGCCTAGCCTACCTTCAATATGCTCAAGACTCTTTTTTAAAAATGTTTGAAATTCTATTTTTATTTAAAAAAATTTTTTGTGGGTACATAGTAGGTATATATATTTTGGGGGTACATGAGATGAGAACTCTCATATTAGCCAGCAGTTGGGCAAAAATCATCTGGCACCACAGGACATCATAGAGTTTTGTCTGTCTGTTTGTTTTGAGATGGAGTCCCACTCTGTTGCCCCAGGCTGGAGAGCAATGGTGTGATCTTGGCTCACTACGACCTCCGCCTCCCAGGTTCAAGCAATACTTCTGCCTCAGCCTCCTGAGTAGCTGGGATTACAGGTGTGCACCACCACCCCTGGCTAATTTTTGTATTTTAAGTAGAGACAGGGTTTCACCATGTTGATCAGGCTGGTCTCGAACTCCTGACCACAGGTGATCCACCTGCCTTGGCTTCGCAAAGTGCTGGGATTACAGGCGTGAGCCACCTCACCTGGAGTAAGCCACCGCACCTGGTTGTTTAGCTTCACAATGGCATGACTGGCTGGGAGCTGCTGTTCATTCCCTCAGCCCAGCATTGAAAAACAGAGTTATATCACATATCACTAGCTCAGGAAAAAATCAAAATTCAAAAACAAAATAGTTTCTACTGACTGCAGATCGCTTTCCCACCATCATAAAGGTCAAAAATTCATAAGTTGACCCGTCATAAGTCAGGGACTGTCTGTATAGTAAACGTATTTGAGAGCTTACTCTGTTCCACATAACTATTTAATTACTAGTTAATTAGTAATGTTAATTATTACAAGTTGATGTGTATTATTCCATGTTCAGTTCTTCATGTGGGGGGCCTGGGAATCCTTATGTTGAACCAGCTTATGGTGTGCTGCTTCATAAGTAGCCTGTGTCGTCCACAATTTAGAAAACACTGCTATGGAAGTTTTTATTCCTTTCAGAGACAAAGCCAGTGTGGGGGATATGCCACCAAATAAAAGTGGTTGAAAAAACTTCAACCTAATTTAGGCTTATTTATGTCTACAGGACACAGGCGTTTATCAAAATAATTAATCTTTTTATTATTCGTATAATATTAGCAACTATATTCTTCATTCATTTCTACGAATACGAACACACATTCACACAAGACATACCCTAACTAGAGGGAATTAGAAAAGAATCATAGAAACATTACAAAACATAGGTTTAAATACTTACAAAAATAAAGTTTAAGCTGTTATCTTTCACAATTTCCCAGGCTCTTCTGAATGTTTTTCAGTGCTTGACCCCCATCTGTCCTAAATTGTAACTGACTGCTCTTTAGAATGCAGGTGCTAATTAACTTCTTAACACTTCTTTGTATCATCCTAAAAGCCCAGCCTTCTTGCTTCTGTGCCTTCTGAAGTGTCTCTTTGAGTTGTGTTGTTAAAGAGGTGTATATCCCATAGCAAGTTCATATTACTTTTGTACCAAAAATAAAAACCAAAAATAAAATTCTAAGTCCCCCGAACCATCTGAGTACCTGCCCTCCTCTTGGCCAAGGGCATTCCAAAGTTAACCTGAAAACACTAGTTTAGGCTGTGATGGGAATGGGGAGCTGGACAGGACTCTTTATGCCCTCCTCCCTTTTGGAATTACTGTTAGAACAGACTCTTTGAGTCTTATGAGAAGCATTCACAATGTATTCTCTCTGAAGCCTGCTACCTGGAAGCTTCATCTGCATGATAAAACTTTGGTCCCTACAACCACTTAAAGTAATCCAGGCATTCCTTTGTATTGATAATAACTCCTTCAACCAATTGTCAATCAGAAAAATTTTAAATCTACCTATGACCTAGAAGCCGTCATTTTGAGTTGTCCCACCTTTCTGGATTGAACCAGTGTAAATTTTACATGTATTGATTTATGTCTCATGTCTCCGTAAAATGCATAGAAACAATCTGTATCCCAACCACCTTGGGCACATGTTATCAGGACCTCCTGAGGCTGTGTCATGGTTGGGACCTTAACCTTGGCAAAATAAACTTTCTAAATTGATTGTGACCTGTCTCGGATACTTTTGATTTACAGTAATTAAAAACTTGAGATAACATAATGCTTTTAGAAGGATGTAAACATCTTTGCCTCTGTCCTAACTCACAATTAGCTCTTTTCCTTGGGTTAATATGTGAAGTAAATTCCTGTCCTGAACCTCTGAGATTCCAAGTTGGTTTCCATTGAGTCAGGCCCAGAGATTTGCATTATAAGCACAGCTCCTTGGAGGATTCTAGTCCTGGTAGAGAAACCATTCATGCAGAGCAGAGTTCTTCTCACACCGGATGGATATACTGCTCTGTTTTCTGACATACTGTGCTTTGTTTGATGGTTTCAAAATATGTACGGTGAGTGTCTCCACATTCTGATTTTCAGGTAGCTACTGATTTCTGGGTTTTTTTTTTTTTTTTTTTTTTTTTTTTTTTTGCATATAGAACAATAGAGCATAGCAATTAAGTACATGTAATTTACTGTTAGTCAGAACTAGCTTCTGGCCACAGACCCCACATCTGTTGATTATTGGGACCCAGGCCAGTGGCCTCAACATTTTAGCTTTTTGTTGTTGTTGTTTTTAACAATTAAGGTTTTCTCACATTTCCCATTGGTTGTTTTCATTTTGTGTGTCCTATTTTATGTTCATCTTTAAAAAATATTATTATTATAAAGATCATCAATGATGTTCTAAATGCTTCTTAAATAAATATTTATTTGTTACATCAGAATCTACCATGAAAACATTTGCCCATATTTTGAATTTTCTCTTTAAGATCCTTAGGTAGGCTGGGCACAGTGGCTCACATCTGTAATCCTAGCACTTTGGAAGGCCAAGGTGAGAGGATTGCTTGAGTCTAGGAGTTCAAGACCAGATCCTGTCTCTATTAAAAAAAAAAAAAAATCTGCCATGGTGGGATTACACACCTGTAATCCTAGCTACTTGGGAGGCTGAGGTGGGAGGATTGCTTGAGCCTGGGAGGTCGAGGCTGCAGTGAGTTGTTATGGTACCACGGCACTCAGTTTGGATAACAGAGTGAGATCCTGTCTCAAAAAAAGGAAAAATATACTTATTGTATAAGTGTGTGTGTATGTGTGTGTATGTGTGTGTGTGTGTGTGTTTTCCTGGCTGGACTAATTATTGGGGTGCTTGCTTTTATAATTATGCCATAAATGTCTATACAAAAACACATCAGTAATTGAATAGATGAATGAATTAAAAACATTTATCGAGTACCTATTTATGCCTATCCTCTTTTGGAAATCTGAAAGTGATTTGAATATAATTTAGTCTCATTTAAGTCTAAATAAGATAATTATATCAAGTAAATAAGTACTTGTACCAGAAACATAGAAGCTCCTTTATATTTGATGGTAATTATTAGTATTCTAGTTACAGACTAATATTTGACAGTAAAACAGGCAATTGACAATGGATTAGAAAGGGAGATTCAAATTATGTGGCACACTCTTGAAATTTAGTGAGTTTCAATGTAGAAAACCCCAACCATGTTGGGCACATGTTGTCAGGACCTCTGGAGGCTGTGTCATGGGTATGCTCTTAACCTTGGCAAAATGAACTTTCTAAAGTGATTGAGATCTGTTTCAGATATTTTTGGTTTACAGTAATTAAAATCTTGAAATAACATACTACTTTTGGGGAAATCTATACCTCTGAAGGAGAGTCATTTGTGAGGTTCTTTGTTTACTGATTATCCTGATTTCTAATTATTTTCTTGGGAGTTCTGGAAAGCTCCTCAAGGTAACTTCTCTTCCTATATGAAATACTGTTTTGAAAACATTTCCCTGGAGAATCTAAATACAAGAACAGCTCAGATTCCACTGTTTTTAGACATTTCCCAATGCTCCTCACTTCACACATTTACACTGAAACATGTACAAAATACTTACTGCCGCATTTTTCTTTCCGCCTGGCGAACAGCTGTAAAGATATTAATTGTGCTTCGGTTATAAATGGATTGCCAAAAGGGACAGAACGGGTTGTGTATCTCATCAGCATGCCCTGTCTGGTATAAACAATGAGACAAGAACTTGGTAAATTGGAAATTTGTGATAAAAACAAGATGTGATATTATGAAGTCCCACCAGTTCTTTCTTCTAGATACATCGATTTTTAAGGCACTCTGTGAGACTGCTAAATCAATGATTGTCACAAAATGTTGGCTAAAAGGGCTATATTACTGGAGTCAACTACAAATTAGCCCAAAGGGTAAACATAAAGGTAGTACAAATGTTAAAAAGAAAAATGTCGCAGCTGTTGTAAAATATAGTTGGAAAGGCACAGCTGTTAGAAAATGTATATGGTCTTTTTCTCCTTTTCCATCTAAGAGTCTTGAATATGGCAACTAGGAAGAATTGAAAAGAGAAGAAACAGAACTGAATTGAGTGCAGGACTTCATTACTTGAGTTATTTTTTAAATAATGTCAGAATTTTCTTTGATGTTTCCTCAAATTATTCTTGTGCGTCTTTCAAATCTGCTAATTTTTGCTTTTACCTTTCATAAGCACCTAGTGAAGTTGCTATTTCCTAGTATGGCATAATGATTAAAATTTAAAGAAATTTTAAAAATTATTGATATTGCTAAATATGTTGCATACATAGATTTGTGCACTTTGAGTTGCATTTCAAATGAAACCCAATTTTGTAAGAAGTCTTCAATGTAATGAAATTTGAGGATTGGGGAACAAAACAGAACTCATACATGTACACATGGACACATACATTGTTCATGTACTATAACAGTCAATATTGTAAAATCACAGACTACCTTTGAAGTTGGGCTATTCATCATGTCACTTTATCAGGAAGATTTCCTTTACATACCTCCAACCTGCCCTCCACCTTTCCCTAGTAGCAGGTCTCAGGGTCAATCTTCTCTGCACACCCACCACTCCTGCAACACGCCTAGGTTACAGTCTAGGCAATAATGTTTCTTTCTGTGCCTCTCCCTGGTAGGCTGTGAGCTAGCTCCCTAAGGGCCAAGAAGGACCGGTATTCATCATTGGTACTCCAAGACCAGGAACAGTTTGGTGGCATTCAGCAATTGAGAAACATATATAGTGTGAGAAGAAGGGACTAAGGAAGTGAGAATACAGAGAAAGAAGGATACCAATAAAGAGAAATGAAGGAATATGTTGAATAAATACAGCATCTATTCAATTTTCTTGCTATCATTTCATTAGATTACTTAAGAATATGGTCTGCGTCAGATTCATCAGCACATCTTCAGGGCTGAAAACATAATCAGTTCTTTTCTTTCTCTTATCTCACTCTCTCTCCCTCCTCTTTTCATCCTCCCAATTTGAAAGCCTCCAGATATTGGCACAACCTTAATCATTCTTTGTAAACCCATTGCTTAGCCTTTCACATATTATTTTGTGTTTGCCAAGATTTTAATTATGTCACGTAGAGTTTTCAATACATTTTTTAAACAACTCTCTCTAAGCATGCATGTACCAAGGTCTCACTACAGATTGAGTCCCCTAATCTGAAAATTCAGAATTTGAAGTGCTTCAAAATCTGACAGTTTTTGAGTGCTGACATGACCCCAAAAAGTGGCAAGTTCCATACTTGATCTCGTGTGATAATGTGATAATGTCCTCAGTTCATTATTTCCTCTATAGGAAGTTTTCAGGAGCTTAAGTGAGAGTTTAATATCATACTAGCCTCCGTTTGAAGCTAATTCTGGCTTATGTTGGGACTGGGTTCAACTCTAAGAAGACAAGGTCATGACTACCCTTTTAAGAGTAGAGAAAACCCTTACCGTTATTCTTTAATAAATTCAAAATGAAAAGAAGACAAAACAGTAGACATAACACATAATTCAGAACATGATCAATGTGCTACATTAATCTCTGAATATCTTCCAAAAGAAAATAAGCTATTAATTCTCTCTTATTTATATATTTACCCAATGAATATTTCTATGCAAAGCATTTTCTGAAGTGCTAGGGAGAAAAATAAAAATACTAGTTCATATTCTCTGCATTTGAAGATGTAAAATTCAGAAACATTATAGTGTTTGTGTAGCAGTTAAAAGGGCAGATTTGGGAGCATTCTCGTGTCCTTATAAATTCAGGCTTTATTCCTTCTGTTTGAATTCAGATATTCATAGCAGACTCAGAGGCTTGTTGCAAAGATTAAATGAATAAATATTTCATATCAGGTATAGTTCTCAGCACTTGTATAACAAGGACAATGTAGATTCATGCTTATAATTTGAACAAAGTGACGGAGCCATGTTATCAAGGAATGGGTTAATTCTGGAGGGGAGGATGAGAGGGGAAAGTTGAGAGAATAAGAAAGAATATTGTTCCTAAGAAGCTTTTAGTCTAAAAGGGGAAAATCTGTATGCACTGCAATTTATATATAAAAGTAAAAGGTGCCCCTAGAGACAATCAAGTAAAGTATTTTGAGAGTTCAGAAGAGGGAATGATTCAACTTAGGAATCAACTAAATCTGGAATCTGGGTCAGATTGAGCTATGTGGATAGTTGTGGAATCACAGAAATGGAGTGAGTAGTGGGTAAATAAAGTAGTTGGGAATATTACAAAGCTCTGGGTAATTGGTGGAAAGGGTTGTTTAAAACCCTTTACTAACTTTCCATTCTCCTAAAATAAGCTCCAAACTGATTAGTCAAATTCATGGGTACCCTTCTAGATTTGCAGCCCCACCTGTGAACATTGACCTGAGATTATCTTTTTCTGCCTGATTTCAATATCAAAGTCCCCTCATACCAAAAACTTTGCTTTAACTGTTTATCTGCCCCTCCTGCATTCTTCAGTATTTCTGTGTCACCCACTGCATTTGATCACATCATTTAGTAGCTAATTGTTCCATTTTGGCTCTCCTACTGGTCTACCCTTGTAGAAAGCAAGAATCTTCTAACCGCAGTTTCTGAAGCTTGACACAGCAGGATTTCAATTAAAAAAAATTAAAACAATGAAGGGCTCAAATAGGAGATTAGCCTAATTTACTTCCATTTTAGCTATGTCATTGATGGCGGCATGTATAGGATATTATATTTCGTGTCAGTTAGTAAATATTTTTTAAAAACTCTGTGAACTCATAGTTCTTGTAATGATTGTGAAATTAAACCTTTTTCATCTAAGACTCTCATTCCTCAGTAGCTCAGTGGCTCAGTGGCTTTTCACTTTGTCACATTTGAAATTTGATAGGATTTTGTCTCTCACATTGGAAAAGGGAGGGTAACCCCAGCTACACTATTATTATGTTTTAAAGTCCTGGCTTTTAACTAGAAAAGTAAGCTCATTCTAGAGGGACAAAAAAAACGAACAGCCACTGTAATGCTTATATCTCTGTTCTCATGCATCTTGGCCTTAAATTTATACTTTGTTAAATAAAAATAAAGTAGCTTGCTCTGGAGAGCACAGAGTGTGTCTCAACCAAAATTCTCTCACCTGGAGAATACTGATTGTATGTTATTTTTATGGAGCCTCAGAATAAGAATAGGAAGTAGGTGGTACTATTCTATTTTTTAAATAAAGCAATGGAGTCTTATTGATGTAAAAACATTCTCTTCCTGTGTAAGGGTGTTAAGTCATGATGTAGAATATGATCTCAGTATAATCAAATAAAGTCAACAGAAACATCTGATATTATAATTATATAATGTGTATATATATATACACACACACACTATATAATTCTATGTATGCTACAATTTTATATGTATATGTAGTATGTATATAGTGTATACACTATATATCTGTACTTTCAATTACATCATGCTGCCTTCGAGAAAATACATTTAATGAAGATTTGCAGTTTCTTACAATAAAGAGAAACCAGGTGAAAACACTGCTAAAGTAAACTTCAAATGCTATTAGGAGAGAAAGTCTAGCTCTCTTGCATATTCTTATACCCTTTGCATCTAAGTTGGTGCTTGGCATATAGTATATACTGTGCAAATAGCCATTGTGTGATTGAATAGATTAGTTCATTTACTCAAATAGAATGAATTACATTTCTTTTTTTTTTTTATTGAGACAGGGTCTCACTCTGTCACCAAGGCTGGAGTGCAGTAGCATGATCACAGCTCACTCTGGCCTCAACTTCCCGGGCTCAAGTGATCCTCCAACCTCAGCCTCCCAAGTAGCTGGTAGCTGGGACTACAGGTGCACACCACCATGCCCAGCTAATTTTTATATTTTTGTAGAGACAGAGTTTGGCCATGTTGCCCAGGCTAGTCTTGAATTCCTAGGCTTAAATAATCCACCTGCCTCACCCTCCAAAAGTGCTGGGATTAGAGGATGAATGACATTTCTACCTGCTGTAGTTGTCACATACCGTAGAAGGCATCTGGGCATCTGTGGTGCCACCAGTAGCATAATTTCTCAAAGTCAGTATGGATATCGATAGCTGCCAGTCTAAAGCATTTATGGTGCTATTTAGTTCTCAAGCATTTACAGGATTTCATTCCATAGGTAACAAATTAGCAAAGGTTTGATTCCTGGGAATAAGCAGCCCATGAAAAGAAAATACTTTTCTTTTTCTGTTGTATTAGAAATAGAACCGCCCCAATTCCAAAAAGGTGTATTTATGCACATGGAACTATAAAACAGGCAGCTTATTAGTTTTCACAACCAGGCCTCCAATTGCCCTCATTATCTGTTTGCAAAAGCAGTGGGTAGGCTACCATGCTAGCATTGTTTGTGAAGGATACAGAAGGTAGTTCCCCTCTGTGCATATAAACGTGTCTAAGATTCTACAGTTACACATTTTCATATGATATTTTCCATTTCTCTCACCCAATGCACATTACAGATGTTTGCTGGAATGATGCATGGGTGAATAGAAGACATCCGTGTGCTCAAACACATTTTCTAAAGTGTTTAATTGTTTCAGAAAGTTTCAGGCTCATTCTAAAAACACAATGTTAAGTGTGCATGGATGTTTCATTAAGTTACAAAATTGTTTGGTTCCCTAAATTCTCCAGAATAAAATATGTAAACTGAATTTTATTTCCCCGGTTTATGTCCCAAATCATGGAGCCAGAGAAATGACAGGATACATTTCGGTGCTGTCCATCCGCCTGACTGCAGTTAAGAATCTGTCTCCATTCCCATAATAAACTTAATTTGGAGCATGTGGAATTTGGCAGCAACATTTCACTACAGGCTGAGAGTTGGCACATAAGGAGAACACCCAGTGAGCAGCGAGTAGGCCTTTGCAAAAAAAGAAAGATAGGGAACTAATCATTGAGGATTCCATTGTGTGGTATGTGTCATAAAAGAGAGGTTTCTGAAGCAAAATGGCAAGCACATGCTGCCTCTGCCTCTTATTCAACTGGCTTTTCTAAATGGCAAGACTGATTACCCACAAAAGAGAAGGGTTTGATCTTCTGTTATCAGCTTGACATTACTCTTGCAGTTAACCAACTGTAATTCAGAGCAGAAGTTCCTGGAAAGAATTGGAATCCCTGTCTTCTTGCTTGTAGTTGAATGGTCAGATGGTAATAATTCAGTATTTATTTCCCCTAGAGCTTGGCTGGGGATGAAATCTCCATATCCAGGGTTAAAAAAGAAGCCCTAACTTTGGCTGATCCATGTTTAATCCTCCTCCCCCTGCAAAGACACGCCTAAGTTGCCCCTTGGAGGTTTGGATATTTGGTAGCTAATAGCAAAACTGAAAAATACTGGTAGAATTTAGGGCATGCTTCCTGCTGGGGGAATTTGCTTGAGGCCCTTCAAGAGAAATGAATGTTGAAGACTATGGTATCAGTCAGAGAGATGCAAAGAAAAATGAATGCATGGGCTGCATACACTTATTTCTCAGCTTTTTCCTTCAGCACATCAGGTCGGTGCTCTGTGGTAACTTGGTTGGGGAAGCAGTGTGATGGGGAGGGGGTGGAGACTTTCAATCAACCAACCAACCAACCAACCAACCAACCAACCAACCAACCAACCAACCAACCGGACATCCAGCCAACCAACCAACCAACCAACACACATAAAACCTCTAGAAATATGTGACAGTCAGTACAGAAGTATCCCAGAGCATTTTTCCATAAAACTAATAAATAATGAATTCTGTCTGACACATTTAAAACATCCAGGACCAGAAGCTTCTACTTCTAGTGAGGAATAATTTAAACATCAACAAGTAATGCAGGCCTTATGAAATTATTGCTCTGCTATACAACAACCCAAAAAAGGTTGTCATGGCAACCCCTGTGCTCCCAACACCTATTTGTATTGCACAGTACTTAGGGGAATTAATAAGGATGAGAGGAGTTGGGTTGAGGGCTCAGTTTTATTAAAATAAATGAACGCAGTTGCATCATTGCTATGACCTTTTAGGCCAGTGATCTTTGGGATGCATGAATGTTTAAGTAAGACATTTTCAGATGATAATGCCAAACACTTTGTCTGTGGATTGTACATACTGCACTTGGAACAGGATAACTAGCAGGTCAAATAAAAAGTTTGAAGAGCATAGTAGAAGACCAAGAATGTGCATTGTTCTGAATTTTAGTTATTGCAAAGGTTCTGCCCCTTTATTTTCCCACCTGGTATTGGAATGCTGATTCTCTAAAAATGTATTGCAAATGACTCTTTGCAAATGGAATTTGTCTTCTTCTGATCATAAGAGTTTTAGCTTTTCCAGTGGGCACATTTTTACGCTGCACCAAACTGTCGTTTTCCTGATCAGGGTGTCAGCACCAGCATTTTTCTTTCTGAATAATGTGCAGAATTGGTGTGCTGACTTACTCATAAAAAAAAGTATAGCCTCGCTAACACAGCTGCACTACCCAAACCCCAACATCTCATTTTCCTGAAGGTCTTTCATCTTAGTTTATCAGCAAACTGGAACCTCCACCCCGACAGTGTAGCATCTTTGATGGTTAATTTTGCCTGTAGTTTTTGCTGTTATTATGTGGAAGGGGAGAAAAATGGGTCCTGCTGCTAATGGGAGGAAACTTTCAGGTGTGGCAAGAGGCACATGATACTGTAAGCCTTTTGTTAATTAAAATCCGAGCAGCACATTGGCAAATTTCACTTAAACGAGTGAAACAAACTAAATGCAAAAAAGAAAAAAAAAGTTTGTTTAATGCAGAATTCACCTTGGAATTGATGTGTTCATACTCGGCTTGATACTAGCAGGCTGAATTGTGGTGACAGGGATCATTTTTGTTGACAACAGCTGGAAATACAACAGCTATATTATTATAATTAGGATCAGTATCAAGTTGGATTATAATAGGGGCTTTCTTGGAGAAATGGCACAGTGTCAAATTTATAGTCACTAGCTAAATGAGTCTCTTGTATCCTTGACAAAGGGACAAAAACAGTTCCAAATGAAAACACAAACAGAGAATCCTGGTTGTTATATTTCCTGGGTATTACTCAGGGTCCTATTTATCACACACCAACACTTGCAGCTTTGAAGAAACATTATCCTGCAAGGTTTACACATTTCAATTTGCCTTCGTGGTCTGCATTCTGTATGCATATCCATGGAGAAGTGTGCATTGCTGCTTGACTAGCAATCTTTTCTGCTAAAAGATTAACCTCGAAACATCCATTTTTTCCCCCATGGGCAATCACTTGACAAATGCACCCACAAAACCTCTACACACATCTATTCCAGTGTACAGGTGCATCAACAGTCTTGAGTCACTATTAGGAGAAATATCGTCCTTGACGGAAAGTAGTGCTGCCTTTTCATTTTCAGATGTCTAAAGCTGAAGGATGTGGATTTCCAGGAAGCCAGACATCAGGCAGAAATATTCTGGATGAGTACATGGGTAAAAGCTTGTCTTAGCTCTGTTGCAGTCCCCAGCCCAGTAGTTCATCTTGGCATGGACTGGGAGATATGGCATTCATTCAAAATGCCATCCATTCAAATAACAATGAGAAACTTGTACTGATGATGTGCCCGGTGTCTAGCCTCCTGCTTAATGTATAAGCTTTTACATAGTACACTTTTGTTTATAAAATACTTTTTATTTTTGCTCTCAGAGCAATTTTATACCAAAGAGAAAGGTGATGTGAGATAGATTAGTAGACTGGATGGAAGAATGAGATAATGAGATACTGTGTGTGTGTGTGTGTGTGTGTGTGTGTGTGTGAGTGGTGTTTGTGTGTGTTTTCTTTTGAGCAGTTTTACTAACAAAATCACTTTCTTTCTAAGCGTGTGGATATATTGCTACATTTGAGATTGTCTTTTTGTGTTTCCCCCCAAATTTAATGAAATCTATTGTCAAAGCCATTATGCAAAACTACACTTAATTATAAATTAAAGCATTCACTACCATCTAAAATTGTAAAAGATTAGTTTGTTAGTTTTACCTGTATACACACATAATATAACAATAGTGACAGTAAGCTCGTAGTGTCAATAACTCTTCTGTGCTCTTTGCATACAGTAATCCATATAATTATCTCACCAAGGCTATGATGATGTAACAATAATGTTCACCTTCCTTTTTAAAGATTAGGGAACCAAAGCTTGGAAAACTTTTGTTACTTGGCCAAGAACACAGAGCTAGTAAATGTTGGAGATGAAATGTAAAAGAAATGTTCTGGTTGAAGACATTTTGACTCCACATGTATCCTCTCAACCACTTTTCTATACTTCATGTGATTACATGTGATCCTCACGCAAAACTTTGAGGCTTGTAGAATAAAAATTGTTTGTCTTTGCATATGAAAAGCTGAATCACAGAGCATGTAGAAGATAGAAACCCAACCCCTTACTCCAGCACCAGTAATAACATGATGGGCTGCCTCTCATAATAAGATAAGATCAACAGAAATAGATATGTTCATCATCAGTCTTGTAAGCTCCAGAGAAAATATCCTATCTTCCATTTAACAGGAAACAGTTTGCATGACTATGGAGTATGAAAAAAGAATACTTCACTTTACAAACGAATCTGAATAGTAGTTCTTCAAAGTAATCACAATAGAAATTAGTGTCTCTAGGGAGAATGGATGAAGCTAAATTTTAAAAAGTTTGGTGCACACTACAGGCATTTTTAACTATTATTTTGTATCAAACTGCCTGAAAATATTTTTTAGAAATGTGTCTCCATTTTATTATTCCATAGATCTGGAAGGGACATTAGGGGTCTGTTTTTCAGAGGGTAAAACCTAATACAGAGACATTTAGTACTCACTGGCTTAGCATGTTGTTATTTCTGTGATAGGTACCTACATATATTATTTTGTTTAATTCTCACAATAACCCTATTATATTTTGTAGATTTAAATCTGAGGCTAAGACAGGTTAAAGTATTTGCTCAAAGAAACAGATAAGCGTTTCAGAAGACGTCAGAACTATTTTATGTTCAAAACTGTTAACCCCATACTACTCTGACCAAACGCACGAAGCCTGTGCATAAATAAAACAACACGGTTTTTCAGAAAATATTTGGATATGTTTTTTTCTCTGTGAAGGCATTTCCTAATTTAAGAGTCACCCACTAGAAGGAAATTTGGTAATGACAGGAAGTTTTGACAATTTGTTCACTTTTCTTTTTCGATTACATATGCAGTGACTGGAACTAAATTCTCAGATTCATTAACTTAATATCATACTGAATATTACATCTTGACTTATTTTTTTTTTCTGATAATGTGTTACTTCACAATATGGGAACATAATTTCTCCTTAAAAAATGAAAGTGAATACACTAGACTACAAAACAAAGCAAAAAAATAAATTGTTATATGGTCTTCTACATGAAGAGACATCTTTCTCATAAGTCTCTGAACTCTGTTAGTTCTTTCGGTAACTCTGGTGTCTTTTTCTTATTATTCATTCTTTTTCTTTAATTTTTGGACTAATTTTAGACTTACAGAAAAGTTGCAAAAATAGTTACTACATACCCCTGTCTTAGTCTGTCTTGTGCTGCTTATAACAAAATACCTAAAACGGGTTAATTAATAAAGAAAAAATTATTTTCGCACAGTTCTGGAGGCTGGGAAGTCCAAAATCAAGGTGCAGCATGTGGTGAAGCCCTTCGTACTGTCATCTGAAGAAGAGGAACACTGTGTTCTCTTATGATGAAAGGGAGTTTGTCTCTCCCTCTGTTAAGCTCTTTTATAAAGGTGCCTAATCAGGCACTGAAAGGTGGCTCACACCTGTAATCCCAGCACTTTGGGAGGCAGAGGTGGGCAGATCACGATGTCACGAGATAGAGACCACCCTGGCCAACATGGTGAAAAACGTGTCTACTAAAAATACAAAAATTAGCTGGGCATGGTGGAGCACACTGTAATCCCAGCTACTCAGGAGGCTGAGGCAGGAGAATCGCCTGAACCCTGGAGGCGGTTGCAGTGAGCCAAGATCACACCACTGCACTCCAGCCTGGGCGACAGAGCAAGGCTCCCTCTCAAAAACAAAAGCACCTAATCTCTTGTGAGGGAGGTGCCCTCATGGCCCAATCACCTCTTAAAGGCCCCACCTCTTAATATTGTTATGTTAGCAACACCTGAATTTTGGAGGAGACACATCCAAACCATAGCAACCCCTGACTCAGTTTACCTTCAGTTTAACACCTTACCACAAAGATCAAAACAGGGAAATTAACGTTGATATCCACTTCTATTGTCATTACCCAGTGTTAATGTTTTATCCTCTCTTAATTGAACTACTGTTGTAACCTCATAACAAGTCTGGTCTCCTAATCTGTGTCTCTACTTCCAATTAAATCCGGAGGCCCTAACAGAGAGAGTGGCCCACAATATGGGTTTGCTCTTTAACTGAAATTTCTTCCATATTTCCTAGAGGGTAAAGCCAGTGCTCCCCATCTTGGCATGAAAATTCCCCTATATTTTCTTCTTAATTTCATGTCCAGGCTTAGCTTTGGTGGCAGACTTTTTCTGTCCTGTCATCCCTCTTTCTGAGTATTTTTTGGCAATTTTATCTCACTATCTTCCTTTTACCTAGAAGGTTTTACTCCCAATTCTTCTGCATCTTATGTAATACTCAAATAGCTACAACTATTGTACTCTCATGTGTTCATTTTTGCTAGCTAGTTGATGAGTTACTTGCATCTGGTGGAATGTGTTACACAAGAGGCATTGAGTTGCATTTTTTTATAACTGCAGATTTTGTAGAACCTCTGAGTCATCATTCTGAGTAGAAATTCCAATTTTACAGGACTATCAACTGCTCAACAAATATTATTATTATCTTTTCACTTGGAGTGACTGTAATTCAAAACACTTCCAAAAGATATTGACGGACTAGATCTTGCTAAAGTTCTACCCTATTTCAGTAAACACTGAGGTATGCTGCTTTTCCCCTAGTTGCTGCTGAACATGTTGATTTCTGACAGCCCAACACCGATACTCCCTGCCACCATTTTGTAGTTGTCCTCCCCTGAAGGGAGCTGCTTGGGCCAAGACTAAGGCTCCGTTCTCAGGGGGCATCTTGCATGCTGTAACTGTTTCCTGCTGGAATATAAAAGCTTGGCCCATTTCCTCAACGGGCATGCCATCTCTAGAGCCCTATGGAGTCCAATGAGGCTTTCGTTGTGACTGCATCACATCCCAGATGCTTCTGTCCAGTTTTGTCCTTTTCACTCCCCCCATAGATATTGATTTAAAATGCTCTCCAGTGAAAGTTTAGCAAGAAGTCTTTATCTCAGAGTCTACTTCCAAGGAAACTAATCTGTAACACCTGCCTGCTGTTTCTCATTAAATCGTCAGATAATTTATTCACTCACCCATTTATTCAATGAGTAAAGGTATATTCAATAACCATTATGTTTCCAGCACTTGCTGCATGAAGAAGACATTGGCCCTGACCTCACAGCATGTGATTCTTGTTACCACACCAGACTTTTTCAATTTCTTTCCATTTTCAGGAGTTCCCAGAACTTCCCATAGTCTCTCCCACTACTTTGCCTTTTCTTATGTTTATGTTCTTGCTTAGAATTCCTTCTCCTGGTTAAACTCTACCTTTCTTTGATGATTTAACTCAAAGGCAACCTCTGTTAGAAAATGTTCCTGATCACCCTGTCTGTGCTGGACTAAGTGAGAGATCCATAATTGGTGCTACTGCATTCAGCTGAATTTCCTTCTCTATTTGTTTGACCCTTCCTCCTCTTATTCCCCCTCGAACTGCGAGCTTTTTGAGTGTAAAGATTTGTTGTGTGTGTGTGTATGTGTGTGTGTGTGTGTGTGTTTGATTATTTACATGTCTGCCAACAATATACTTGGGGAGGCAGGTGGAAGTTATTTTTTTTAATGGCATCAAAATGTATAGAGATTTGGTTGCTCTTTAAATCCAAAATGTATAGGTTTGCTCTTTAACTGAAATTTCTTCCCTATTTCCTACAGGGTAAAGCCAACGCTCCCCATCTTGGCATTAAATTTCCCCTATATTTTTATATATATACTCCATAACAGGCAAACTGTATATGCTCAATTGTTGAATGAATGAGTGAATAAAAAATAAATTTGAAAAAAAGGTTATGATTCTGTTATCCATTATGCCTAATTATGTAAGCAAGATGATTAATTGGTGACTCAGATCTAATTTTATATTCTGAATAATTAAACAAGATGGTATAAAATATTCTTTTGATATTTCTGTACAGCTTTTCAGCAGCCAATTTTTCCAGGTACATTTAGTTGTACTTTTGTAAGACGTAAATGTGACATGGTATATTATATTATTAACCTTATATTTCATATTCCTTTGTTAGGATTCCTTTGCATATTCCCCAAGCCTGCATGCTTCTAATACTTATCTTTAAAATGAAAGCTACAAAGTAATCTTAAATAATACAGATACTAAAAGTATCTTTATATAGTACTCCAGGACTCTTTCTTTTAAAAGACTTAGATATTGTTGAAGTTATGAGAGAGCAGTTTATCTTCAACTTTTTAAAAAGATTTCTTTTCCTTTTATTCCCTACACATGGATTTCTGTATAAAATACTTGACAAAATGTAGCTCTTGGCAAAGGACAATGTGTTAATTATTATCTTTTTTCTTTCTCTATTTTATTAGGTACATCTGTCACTAACGTCACTGCGACCGACGCTGATGACCCAGTTTATGGAAACAGTGCAAAGTTGGTTTATAGTATATTGGAAGGGCAGCCTTATTTTTCCATTGAGCCTGAAACAGGTTTGTGGCCTAAATTTCGAATTATATTTGCCATGTTTTTGCTTCAGGGAAATGCTTTTCTTGGGATTTGGGTTATGAAATATTATGTGTAAGTACTTCACTGCCTGCATCAATAATATTTGAATATGCGACATGAGGTACACAGTGAGCCCTACAACCATTTTTGATGCTGATTACGACAAATCACAGAGCATTTGTAGGATATCACCTATTTAACACATGATCTGACACCATTTTTCATCCTGGAATAAAGGGAAGAATGTGCTTATATATCAGAGAAACTTAAATAGTAGATTTAAGTGAAAATTCAGTTGCTTATTGGCTGTGTGATGCTTGAAAAGTATCTAAGTTCCAATTTGCACATCTGTAAAATGGGTATGGAACGTACCACATAATACTGTGAAGAAGATCAGATAAAACAATAAATACCAAACACACAGTGCACGTCATGTGGTAATCATTCAGTGCACTTTAGATATTATTACATTTGCTACTAGATTCCTCCTTGTAAAACACAATACATATATATCCATTAGAGCTCTTATGAAGATATTATTATGGTCAATATTAAATCCAGCTAATACCCTGTGATCTGGTGGTACAGATTTTATAAGCCATGAAGTAAGTTATCTAACAAACAGCCTTTTTAAACCAGGTTAAAAAATAGCTTTATAAAAATAAGTTTTTAATAAATGAAGATATATGTTTTTAATGTTTTAATTTAACAGTATATTAAGAGATCAAACATATTTTGTCTGACTTGTAAATCCTGTGAAGTTTTGTTGTAGCACATTTAAAAACTATTATTAAGAACAATTATTGTTTAAAAAGCAATTTTTTTTGTATATTTTCTTCTATATCCAGTGGTATTGTATGTAAGTTTCCAAATAGAAAAATTCAATGTACAGGCACATATACATATATTATTATTTCTTTGATTCATGACTTTTCAGCGCTGTTGAGATAAATTTCTATGACTTACCATTAATTCAGTTATTAACTAAATTAAAAATTTAAAGACTACCCCTGCTTTTTTCTTTTAAATTCAAAGGGTAAAATCTTAATACGTTTAATACTGAGGAAAAGTACATTTATATATAAATAGGTCAGGGCGTAAAATTGAATTTAGATTTGGAAACAGGAAAGAACTCTTGTAAAACACATTAATTAGGGGTATAATTATATATCCTTCCGCAGCCAAGAAGGAAGTCTGTTCTAAACTTTTTCTCATTTGGGTCCCTTGATGATCCTGAAATGGCAGAGCAGGTGGCTGCCTTCAAGTTTGAGATGTCCTATAACTTGGCCAAAGTTACAGTGGCAGAGTTCATAGCAGAGGTGGGACTCACACCCTGGTTTTTTATTTCGATACTAATGTCAAATTTGTTTTGAACTTCAGTTTAATAGGTAATAACTATGGCACAGGGTCTTCTGTAAGACAGAAATGTGTTAGATGCCAAAATGGACCTGAGTAATGTTCTCTTCTTGGCCATTTGTTCAATTGGGTCTTTTTGTTCACCATTGCCACTGCAAAATAGACATTAATCCAGAAAATACCTATTGACATACCTATACACATTCACTGTGTGCCAGGCACTGGATTAAATATAGGGAGAAAAAAATCACAAAGGCTAATCTCAGTCTACAAGTATCTCATAATCCATTTCAAAAGACAGACTTTTTCCACCATAAATAAAGGTAGCATGGTAATGTCATTTAGATAATTTGTTTCTTAGGAATAAATTACTATGAGGTATAAATAATAAAAGCCCCCTGCTAAGTGAGAGGATTTGGACAATTATAAGTTTCAGTGATATAGATTGCCATTTGTTTAATTAACTGTTGTCAGCAACATTTAATATTTACATTTTTATTCAGCATAATGTGTATATATATCAACACAAACTCATTTTAGTTTTATCACTTCCAATCTGACAGATATCAAATTGTCTGATTTATAGTTTAGAAAGTTTATTTGGCATTATCGTGGATAGTGTAATGGAGATAGATGATACTTGAAGAATTCACAGAATATTTTCTTAGTAATGTTGGGTGAATGAAGTTGAGGTTTTTAAGTAAGGTGGACACAATTTAAATAAAAATAGAAGCTAAATTCAATAATCGATAAAAGTCAGACTAAGTTCTTTAGATGAAACATAAATATGTATGAGTGGAATGTAAACATTTTTGGGTAAATGTCTGCAAAATTATGCTTGAGTGTGTTCAAATGAAAGCAGTAAGTGTTAGTTGTCCCTAAGAATCTAAATTAGACTCTATCTTTGAGGACCTCTCTCTTAAAAAAAAGAATTGAGACTGATAAAATGTGTGTGTGTTTTAAAGGAGGTTATACAAGCTAAGCAGAAATAGATTAAGAACATTGTTTAACATTTTTTATTAGAAAAACAAGAAAAAAAGAGGCAATGGCCTTGAACATTTAGATTTTAAAGTCTGTAAGCATATGGAAAGCAAATACCCCCTTTGTGGGGAACAAAAGATGTGTATTAGTTGGGTCCTTTGGAAAATAGAATGCTGAGACAGAGATAGTAGTGCCAATGGCTTATTAGGGGCTTATGACTGTGAAAAATAAAAGGGGTATGTAGCCGACTTGGACATGGAAGTTCCTCTTATCAAATGCAGATCTTCTACCCATGCGATCAAAGAGGAGAAAAAGCAGTATAAGGCAATGTAGATCTGACAACATCTTGACCAAAACAATGGGACCCCTGGAGCAAACATTACTCTTAAAAGGAGTCTCATGTTGCACATAAACGGCCAGGCTTTAATAAACTCACCATGCTCAGTCATTGGCTGGGATGTGCCTGTGGAAAGCAGGGTCTTGACTTGGATCCTGAGGTCAAGCCTAAAGGTACTTCAGCTACAGGGTCTCAGCTAACTGCATGGAAATCCTTAAAGTAATCCTTTGGCAGGAAAATGCAAGCAGTGGGCTTCTGTGTCTTCTGCAGTGTGTGTGTGTGTGTGTGTGTGTGTGTGTATGTGTATATGTGTGCATGTGTGTGTGCGTACTTATAAACATATATACATGTATATTCACACATATATGTATACATATATACACATGTGTATGTAAATATGTGCTTGTATATACACACATACATATGTATATACATATATATTTATACATACATATATGTACATGTATATATACACATATATGTATATGAAGAAAACAACTTTTAATTCTATAGATTTAGCAAATGTGATATTAAAAACTATAATATGCAGGAATAGCAAGTACTTGGTGGATAAACCGATAATGGGAATATTAATATATACGTTGATTTTAAAAATGCATGCTATGGGTCAAAAACATTATGAATGGCTACTAATTTTGACCCAAGAATCCAAATTCTAGTAAAAGAAAGAAAATGTCATGGATGAGCAGAGACTCGTTACCTAAGACCCACATACCTCTGAGAGCACCTAATAAGATGGTTCTTTACATGATAGGTCTGCACATTACTTCAGGAAGTGACCCAGCATAGATGGGTTCGAAAATGTTGGCTGAATACCATTACACATCACCACATATGTGGGACCAACCTTCAGTTCCTTTTTACACCAGGATTCTGGCATACTATCAAGGGTCAAATCTGTAGCTAAAATGATCGATATTGTGACAGTGAACAGTCCCTCACCGGGTTACATAAGGCAGTCACATTCATACTCTTTATAAAGAAGATTGTCCATTGACCACTGTCAGCTCTTCTTTGCTGTTATCATATTTTCAATAACAAAAAATAAACCAGGGCATGAGACAATAAATCTTGTATGTATCTTGTTTTTTCCTCGCAAGAATGCTAAAAACAGAACTCTGGAATTTGGAACAGATAAGTTCTGCTCTCCCCTTGCTTGTTACATTTCACTTCATGGAATTATTTTCTGTTGCCATAACATATCAGAGAGAGCTTCTTCTATTGTTTCAGTTATCACCTTAAGAGCACAGAGAGATATACCATTTGTTCTTTATTTTCTTCTTTGAGCTTTAACAAAATCAGGGTTATCTTGTTTATTGACTTGTTTATATTTTTTAAGTTAATTACCATGCTAGAGTGCAAGGTCCAGGAAAGAAGGGGGCTTGTATGATTTGTTGATTTTGCAAATCTATGCATTCCTATGCCTAGATGTCTGGCACCTAGAAGTCCTTCAGTAAGTAGTGAAGGATGGAATGAGGGAAAGAGGGAAGGAAGGAAGGAAGGAAGGAAGAATGGAAGGAAGGAAGGAAGGAAGGAAGGAAGGAAGGAAGGAAGGGCAGAGTCAGGGAGAGCTGGAGGAAGGGAAGGCCGGGAGGGATGTGCAAAAGAAGCAGGGAGGATAAAGGGAAGGAGGAAGAAAGTGCAAATTAATAGAAAGAGAAAAGCTTGCCACAATTCATAGAGAAGATGTAAGAGGAAACATCTAGGGAATAAAGCTTGGTATCCAGTCTATACTTCTATCTGTTTCTCTGATGGAAAGAACACCATATTAATCTCAGATATGATTGTTTTGTTTGAAATTCATTTAGGAGCAGCATTCATGCTTTTTCCAAATCTCATACTATGTTTTAAGTGTCTAGGCAACACAATGCTATTCTAGTATTTGCAAAAATAGCCTTGAGACCATAATAAACTCTTGCTCAGATTTGCTTCTAGATCATACAAGGAGATAGAAAGGTTCTGGGACCACTAAACAAAGAAGAAATGATTATTAATATATCTTCCTATTCCAGAGGTCACTGTGATGGTACTACTAGTGCTGCTAATAATAACAGCAACAATAGAAAGCCAAATCATTGTGTATATACAGTCTTTTAGGTTTGACAAAACACTAAACCAAACTGTGGAGTGAAGAATTTCTGTCTCCATTTTGCAAATGACAAAACTGTGTTTCGGAGAGAATGAAGTAAAATGTCTTTCTCACCTTTAGATAAATTCCTCTGTCAAATCATAACAGGAAGAATAAAAAGAACAGAACAAGAACTTTATTTATTGAACTCTTACTATGTTCTTGCCATTGTGCTAACTGGGTTTGCATACATTATTGAATTTAATTTAATTTTTTCCACACAATATTTTGAGGTAGGTATTAGTGTCATCTCACTTTTACTGATGAGACAACTGAGTTTGACTTGCATGTTTCTTGCCCAAGGTGTTTGAAGCAGGATTCAAGGTGAATCTGCCTGATCCCATACCTCAATTTTTGACCTTCTCCCTTGCTTCCCACTTAACTTTCAAGCAGTATAGTTCATACCTGGGAATGACATTGGTTTGAAAAGAGACCTAAAGAACTTGGAAGCAGGTTCAGGCCTCCTCTATCCATAGGTGTTGGAGAGACAGTGTAGCATCAGAGAAAATGGAAGGCAGTAGTAATTGTAAAATGAATTGTCATTCTTGTGAATAGTTTTTATTATGGTACTTCAAAAGGCTGAAAATAGTTTACTTGTATTCTTAAAATGTTTTTTTTTTGTTTTCCCCTCCCTGCCACCCCCAATACCATATGTTTGCCTGTAATATTTTGGGCACAGACAAGGAGAAATGTGGCATTTATTTAAAAGGCACTAATTTGAGGACAGCAGTGAGAAAACAGATGCAGTCCATCCTAGGTGATTGAAGATGGAAAATCTAAATAAAATGCAAGGCAAGTGAATAATAAATGCTTAATTATCTAAAGAGACCAGGGTAAAGTTTCAGAACAGCCTAAACTTTGCTCCAGGCAAGTGAGAGTATGAAAAATAACCTGCTTAAAAATAAACTAAGTTAATTCATTGACCTTTTTTTGAAACTCAGACCATTTTTCTTCATTGGGTACAAACAACATTTGTCTCTGTGGAACCTGTAAAAATGAGCTAAGTAAAAAATATTCCTTGGGAAAAAAAATCCATGTAATGAATGGTTCTTTCTTAGAAAAATCAAGATAATACATGGAGTCTTCATGGAATGCCTTCATGGAATTGAGTCCTTTTTATGCCTTCGGAGTCAAAATGATAAATTGCTTACACACAGGGCCTCTTTTTAATCAGGATTGCATAGATTATAATTTCCAGTGCCAAGAGGACTGGCTAAAGAACTTGCTTAGTGAAGACATTTCAGAAGGGGTGGGTACTGAGATAAACTCAGGCAGATGAACAATGCTGGGATATACATTTATAGGTGGGAATGTCTTCATACTTCACATTATTCAATGCTTAGTCAATATCTACATGCTGCCATGTTGTGGGCACTAAGATTGAAATGCTGTGTGTGATAAATACTACACATAATATAGGGTTCATGACATAGGGATGTTTGCTAAGTGCCAACTTAGCAAACATGTATGAAGAGCAAGAAAGTATTTTTTAGAGTAGTGATAACAGAGAATATGTCCTGAAAAACTAATGGTAGTTTAAGAAATGAAAATGTGGGGTAAGGGGAGCTATTAAATAAGGTCTTTTGGCATGAGGAAATCAAAGGGCTGTGTGCTCAGGGGAAAAGATAAATTGGTGATCAGGGTGATATTGAGAAATTAAATAGTTTTCATTTTCTCAATGGTATTAGAAGATTTTACTTGAAGAACTTTTTCGATATATAATAAACGTAATCTGCAATTTAGAAATCCAAACGTAACTAATTTCAGTCTGACTTTGAATGTGTGCTTTCACTTCTTGTGACTTAAGTACCCAGTTTTTATTTTTATTTTATTATTATTTTTTGTCCTCTCCTAATCTTATGTTGAAATGTGACCTCCAATGTTGGAAGTGAGGCCTAGTGAGAGGTGTTTGGGTCATGGCGGCAGATCCCTTATGAATGATTTGGTGCCCTCCCCTCAGTAATGAGTTAATTCTCATTCTATTAGTTCATGCAAGAGCTGGTTGTTTAAGGGAGCCTGGCACCTCCCTCTCTCTTTCTTGCTCCCTGTCTTGCCATGTGACATGCCTTGCTCCCTCTTCACCTTCTGCCATGAGTAAAACTTCCTCACCAAAAGCCGGGCAGATGCTGGTGTCATGCTTGTAGAGCTTGCAGAACCATGAGCCAAATAAACCTCTTTTCTTTGTAAATTACCCAGTCTCAGGTATTCCTTTATAGCAACACAAAATGGATAGTATATAAGTCCACTTGTACATAATTCTTCATTAAGTACGCAATTTTTAAGAGCACTAACACTGTCTTCTAGTCATTCATGATATTGAAAAAATATATGTCCCATTATTTGCTTTTGATCTTCACAAATTAAGGATATCACTAATATCATTACTTTTGTTATTTTTGTTTGTATTTAATGAAACAAAATGTGATATTTGTGATAGGACATTTTCACTTAGAAGAACCAAAAGCTCTTGCATTGTTGGTAGGTAGAAAAGTCCTTCAGCTGTGTTCCACACAAACCACCTGTTTTCATTAAAACTGCTGGATTTGGAGTTGAAAGTTTGAAAGGCAGGAGTGACATGCAGTGGAGGTAAGATTTTGACTATTGCTGGGAAAGTTACATCATAGGAGACCTAGAACCTCTTTCCATGCCAAGTGCTGATTAAAGGATGAGGTAGCTCTACCAATCCCACAGCTGATTCACTTTACAAAATCACACACCCCCTCCAAATTATGTCCTCTCATGAAGTGGGAAGCCAGGAGTGGAGAGGTGCAAGGGTGGCTAATTCTGTTACATGTGGAGTCCCTTGTAAGCCTCTTGGCATAGCACAGGAGTTCTCCCTGTAAATATTAGGCACAAGGCCAATAGACAGGAGGACTTGGGAGGAAGCCAAAGAGTGGTTTTTGTCACCTGTGGGGTTTCCTCCTAATGCACTCTTCATCCAATTTCCTTTTTTTTTTTCTTTTAATGCAGTAATGGGCATAGATTTCCACATTTTTGGAGTAAGAAGACAGGCGGGAGACAGGTCTTTCAAACACACACCACACACACATACACACATTCTCAGCAACTAAAGAGAAGGAGAATAATATCATATGATACTATTATTGTTTTAGGACAAAAGAGAGTATGGAGAAAGACACTTGCCTTTCTTATGTTCTTTGCATTTCAGATAGAAGAATCAATATTACAACAAAAATTGTAGGTAGCAACAAACTGTGCTGGTGGCCAGTGTCTCCAGTGTCTGCTTGCACTCTTATTTAATCCCTATATCAAGTAAAGTAGCTATTTTAACATATCTTATTAAAGATGAAGATTTTGAGGATCTTTGAGGTTAAATGATATGGCCAGTGCCAAACAGGTGTCAAACTCTACATATAGTTTACAATAAATATTTGTTGGGCAAATTAATGAATTAATACGTTGAAGAAGAATAATGAGAAACTAAAGTGACTAATTTTACTTGTACCTAACTTTACATCTCATTGATTTGTCTGAAATGCCCAAAATAAATGATGATAATGATTGTGACGAAATGTAATTTTAAGTTTCTAATAGGTGTCCGCTCAATATATACAGATGTATACCCCCAACAAATGTCATCCTTCTCCAGTTTTTATGGCTCATTTCATAGTTAAGAGGACAGCTAGCTGCGTGCACACAATGACTTAACAATCACTTATTTTCCCATTTGTTGTCTTCTGTGGAAGATACAATATATGAACTAGGGGCTGAGGTCATATTAATTGTTTTGTGATTATTAAAATAATCCCCCCACTCCAAGCACATAGAACAGTTAAATATACTTGGGTAAGCTTGAAGTGGTGTGATGGTCATGTTATTTGCACCTTTGGACAAACCATTTTTGAAGTTCACAAGGAGCTTTCCAGTGTTGACCATAGCTAGAGTCAAAGAAATGTCTATTTGGAGAAACCAAGGTCTGCATATGTGCATGCTGGATAGAAAGACTATGAACTACACAGCCACCTCAGTATGTAACACCTGATATTACACTGGGATGCGTTGGGATGGGTTTAGTTGGAAGCAAAAGAAAAAATGTATTCCCCAGTGGCATTCATCCAATGTGAACACACCAGGTAGGATCAGGATTTTTTCTCAGCTTTCTATGTATCATGTCCCTTCAGAATTAAATTGTATATTTGGTTCCTATAGTGATGTCATTTTTGACCTTGGAAATCTAGCTCTGTTTCATATGACTAGTTCAAAATGATTTGGTGAAGAACAACAAAGGTTTGTTTTCATTAATTTTATAGGAAAACATGTTTATCTAACAGCATCAAAGATTAACCAATATCCAAGGGATGTTAACTTGTAATAACTCCTTTTACAATAAAAAAGTGTGTGTGTGTGTGTTTGTCTGTGTGTGTGTGTGTGTGTGTGTAGGATAGTTGGTAGATATAGACAGACAGACAGATTGATTGATAGATATAGACAGTAATCTTTTATGTTTATTGTTGTAGTTCCCTCCTTCCCATTCCTATAACCTAACTCTGCATCCTCAGCATTTAAGACTATATGGAATATATTCTTTCAGAAATCTCCAGTGCTCAATAATTGCTTTAAATGTTATGGCAAAAGTAACTTTAGATGTAACTTCCAAAGAGAAGGATTATCTAATGTTCTTGCTTAACAGAGAGTTAAACATCATAAGTTTCCACCCACCTCCCATAATTAATTTTATATATTAATTACATATATATATATATATATATATATATATATAAAATGATTGGAAGCTTACAGAAGGGGGTTAATTAACATTGGAGACCACTTTTCTTTAAGCCAAAGTTAGTCTCTGATGCATGAGTAAGAATCCACTAAGAGAGCAGAGGTAGAAGGAAGAGGAAAATACTCAATTTGTTTCCTCATAAAGTCAAATTTCAGAAACATCCCTATGAAATAATTTTCTCTGGACTAAAACATGAGGCCATAATTTCTCTTTTTGTGCCAAAAATATTGTTTTTGTGTTTTTTAAAAAGAGTTTGTGCCATATGGACAGGGATCTTGGATGGTTTCCTCACTATGCATTGCAGGGCTTAGAACCAGGCCCATCTCATGATAGTTGTTCAAATAATATGTCATGAATGAGAAAACAAACACAGACAGTTAAATCCAGAATGAACATGGTTAGAAAAATGGGCTTTTTCAGAAGGATTTTGATACATTTAATTTCAGATCCCAGGAGATGCTGGATTTCAAAAATGGATGCTTTCTAAAAACTTAGAATATATCTTTTGTCATATTCAATATATCCCAGCATCTGATTATTAGGGAACAGTAGCTATGGGATTGTTGATAGTGGACCAGGAACATAAAGATGCGCCTGTAAGTTCTACATAAGACTAGCTCATAACATTTCACTAGTGTTTTCTCTTTAGATGCTTTGTGTCTCCTCTTCCCTTCTAGAAGCAGTGACTTCTCATTTATTACAGTGGAATGTAACTCTTGAGTATCCCAGTCTGTTTTATTTTGTTCCAAAAATTAAGCAGAAGGTAGTTACCATTTATTGATCACAAATTTTGTGCCATTTCAATAATTTTCTTAGTAACTATGTGAAGTGGGTATTATGGTCCTTACTTTTCATGTAAGGAAATAAAATCTCTGGGCAAATTAATTTCTGAGAAGTACCCAGGTAGTAAACTCCAGAGCTCGGTTTTCTGACCACTTCTGTCACATTTCCACCTCCGCTGAATCAGGCTTCCCATCTGCAAAATGTAGAGGAGTCTGGACAAAGGAAAAGAAGACAGGTACTCTAAACACCTTGATGCTCTCATTTAGATTAATTTTTAATTTCAATTAAGTGAATTATTTTCAATTAAGTGAATAGATACTTATTAATCATCTCCACTATCAGGGACAAAATGTGTGGGGTAGAAATAGATTTGACTTGATGGAGGTTAAAGAACTGGAGAGATGCCATCATAAAAATTTATGCCAAAATTATACCAATTGGATGTTTTCTTGCTTATTATCCAAAGTGTCATAAAGGAAACATATAAGGCAATGAGATCATTAATTTATTATTATTTCAATGATTTTACTTTGATTTTATGAAAGGGAAGTGGAAACTTAATGGAACATTCTTGAATTACCAGTATCATTAGTTTTGATTCATCTGGATATGGATGATTCAGGAATGTTGGGTACAGGAATTCAAAATGGAGTCATTTGCAAAGCATATTCAGTCTCAAGAGAATCAGTCCTTCGTTCCTTAAAAAGCTATGAGACTTTCCACTTGGAGCAAAACTCTAATTTAAAAGTAATTTTGAGTTTAAGTACCGATCTGTAGGCTTACCTTTTTTTCCCCTTGCAATTAGAAAATTGCATGGTTATAAAATGAAAATAAATAGGTTTTACACCCATTCTTTTAAAATAGATATCTGCAGGATAAGTCGGTTTTTCAAACTCCTATGGGTCTGGTATTATGTTTCAAATAAGTGAAAAAGACAGTTTTTGAGTTCTCATGGGCAGAATCTAAGACACATATGGCTATATAAATAAAACAAAGGAGAAGCTAGAAAAGTGATTTAAGGACTATACTAGACTCACTTTACAATTTGTGATTATGTGTAATTTGCCATTCAGAATCTTAAGTGTGATAGTTTTATTATGAGCTAGGCAGTTTTATATCACCATGAGGATCAGAAATTTGGAATTTAGTAAATCAGAGATTATAGTGTTCATAGGGTTAACAGAGTTGAACTGGCTGGTGAATGCAAGCATAGCTATAATTAGATAGTTTTTTTTTTTTTTTTTTTTACATATCTGGAGAGTTTCTTTAAAGGTAGTTTTCACGTGCGGTAAAGTTTTATTGTATGTGACACAGCACTATTGGAACTTTCCTTCCATTCCATTAACTTTAATATTGTTGCTGTGGTATTATTTATCTTAGAAGCCACCTTTGCACTCTAACTCCTGAGGATCTTCTAAAGACAGAAATTGAGATTGCCTAATTGTGCCGTTTATGGACAAATGAATTCATGAGCTGTAAATGAAGATAATAATAAATGACTGTGTTTACAAAGTGAAACAAATAGCAGATTTTATTTTCTTGCTTTCACTCTCAGCAGAGTATAAATTAGCAACCCTAGACACAAATTATAATGATAGAAAAGACTTACTATGTGTCAGGGGACAGTAGAGCTGGTAAAAATATTTGGTAATTGAGATAGCTGGGAATGAACCTTGCTAGTCCTTAGTTTTTCCTTTACCAAATGGGGTCAAGGAAAGAAGTGGCCCCATACAGTTCTTATACAATTAACTTTGCTCTCTGTATGACTTTAGTCAATTCATTTGAGTTTAAATCTGACTTGCTATCAAAGTGGCATTCTTAATAACCAGGTTTTACCAACTTTACAAAGTCATACTTTTAAAGTCTTTCCCTTATGGCATAACTGTACAAGATTGTTATTGATCAGATATTGATAAACTGATTATTGATGTGCCACAGGTCGTGTTTTTTCTCACTATACGTAACTTTCCTTAGTTATCCTGTAATAGTTAGAAGAAAGGAACCCACCCTGACCCATCAAGTTTCATTTTCTATCCACAAGTTATACTAAATTGCAATAATCAAATACTAGAGTCATCATAATGAAATCTATTCTGAGATCACATCATTTTCTATAACATTGGAAAATAGACTTGGAGAAAGTGCATTTAAAAATGGGAATTGCCTTATTTACATTTCACGTGAACTCTAAAGTAATGTGCCTCCTATACCCTGGAAAATGGTTATTGAGGACTGTCATCTAAAGTAACTGAAAAATTCGCTGAAGGAAATAAGCCAAACAAATGCTCTGGTTTACATATAAACTTTTTTTTAAACTTTATTATATTTTAAGTTTTAGGGTACATGTGCACAACGTGCAGGTTTGTTACATATGTATACATGTGCCATGTTGGTGTGCTGCACCCATTAACTCGTCATTTAGCATTAGGTATATCTCCTAATGCTATCCCTCCCTCCCCCCTCCCCCCACCCCACAACAGTCCCCGGTGTGTGATGTTCCCCTTCCTGTGTCCATGTGTTCTCACTGTTCAATTCCCACCTATGAGTGAGAACATGCAGTGTTTGTTTTTTTGTCCTTGCGATAGTTTGCTGAGAATGATGGTTTCCAGTTTCATCCATGTCCCTACAAAGGACATGAAGTCATCATTTTTTATGGCTGCATAGTATTCCATGGTGTATATGTGCCACATTTTCTTAATCCAGTCTATCGTTGTTGGACATTTCGGTTGGTTCCAAGTCTTTGCTATTGTGAATAGTGCCGCAATAAACATACTCAGAGAAATGCAAATCAAAACCACAATGAGATACCATCTCACACCAGTTAGAATGGCAATCATTAAAAAGTCAGGAAACAACAGGTGCTGGAGAGGATGTGGAGAAATAGGAACACTTTTACACTGTTGGTGGGACTGTAAACTACTTCAACCATTGTGGAAGTCAGTGTGGCGATTCCTCAGGGATCTAGAACTAGAAATACCATTTGACCCAACCATCCCATTACTGGGTATATACCCAAAGGATTATAAATCATGCTGCTATAAAGACACTTGCACACATATAAACTTTTTTTAAAAAACAAACAAACAAACAAACAAAAGCTAAGCCTCTGAGTGGTCACTGTTTCTGAGAGAGAGAGGATTCAAGTTTGAAGCAATGTGTTTTGGAATTTCAGGGGAGACAACTTGGTATGTAAAGTTCTGAATGTGAACTTAGGAGTCAGAGTTAGGTTTCACTTCTCTCCCCAACATTTCCTAGTTGCATGACCTTGACTAAGATATTCCATATCCCTGAGATCCCATTTCTTTATATCTAAGGATGAATGATCATAGCTCCTTTCCAGAGCATATTATAGGGTTCAAGCTGAGATATTTAAAGCGACCCATACATGATTTTCACTCAGCTACTTGAGTTCCTTTCCTGCCAAAGTGAGAAATGTCACTGAAGGGCATTAAGCCAAATATTACTGTCTTGAATCCCGCATCTCTCAATTCTGAGTCCCATTGTAACTGAAAATTGTTGGTAACGTAAGACATTGGCTTGAAAATGATTTAGCGTGTAAAATTGAGTCTTGTTTACATTTAATACACAAAACAAATACCAGCCTTATTATCTTGGTGGAGCAGCCCTGAAGTATAAAGTATAGGACCAGAGGGTCCAGGCTGTGTGTTCAGACCCACAGCAGCTGACAGAAAGTATCATTTTAGAGCCACCCTTTAGCCCATCCACCTCCAGCAGGTCCTGGTTTCTGAACATTTGCTACACCACGTATGGTTGTTACTTTGACAAAGGGCTGTTTTCCACTGTGCTGACTGCCAACACCTGTCTCTGAGTCAATTTACCTCATTTTTCCATGCAACCATTTCAGTAAATGTCAAGGTGCTGAATTTTCACATGTGCAAATATTTATGTAAGAGCGAAAATAAGCACAACAGTAATTTGATCCTAAGGTATTCAGAATGTTTCACAGGCATAAATTAATGACACCACCTAGCTCCCTGTTAAGTAGGGCAGTACTGCTCTGGCTCTTGAGTATTCTGTAGCCAGAGTTTTCCATCTTAGAGGTGAAGAGGCAGGAAAAGTCAGCTCTAATCCTCTATACATCTTCAGAAGAGGTCTGAAGGGAGTCACTATTTGTATATGTTTGTTTTCATATAGAATTTCTGCCTTAGTCTGTTGTGTGCTTCTATAACAGAATACCACAGACTGGATAATTTATAATAAACAAAAGTTTATTTGTTCACAGTTCTGGAGGCTGGGAAGTCCAAGATCTAGGTGGCAGCATCTGGTGAGGGCCTTGTTGCTGCATAAGACATCAGTTGGCAAAGGGGCAAAGAGAGGGCAAGAGGGAGAGACAAAACAGGGCCAAACTCATATTTTTATAAACAACCAATTCCTGTGATAATGGCATTTATTCTTTCCTGGGAGCAGAGACCTCATGGCCTAATCACTTCCTAAATGTCCTAATTCTTAATACTGTTACAATGGCATCTAAATTTCAACATGAGTTGAAGAGGGAGCAAACATTAAAACCATACAAATTTCTGGCTGGGTGCGGTGGCTCATGCCCGTAATGCCAGCACTTTGGGAGGCCCAGGCGGGCGGATCACGAGGTCAGGAAATCGAGACCATCCTGGCTAGCATGGTGAAATCCCGTCTCTACTAAAAATACAAAAAATACAAAAAAAAAAAAAAAAATTAGCCGGGCGTGGTGGCAGGCAACTGTAGTCCCAGCTACTCAGGAGGCTGAGGCAGGAGAATGGCGTGAACCTGGGAGGCAGAGCTTGCAGTGAACCGAGATCGTGCCACTGCACTCCAGCCTGGGCGACAGAGCAAGACTCCGTCTCCAAGCAAACAAACAAACAAATCACAAAAGTTTCTTTATTTTTTGATGGGGAAACTTCATTTTTTAAATTTTTATTGTCTTATTATTATTTAAAATTTCATGGGTACATAGTAGGTGTGTATATTTATTGGGTATATGAGGTGTTTTGATACAAGCATGTAAGTAAAATAAGCACATCATGGAGAATGGGGTATCCATCCCCTCAAGCATTTATCCTTTGAGTTACAAACAATCTACTTACACTCTTTATTTTAAAATGTACAATTAAGTTATTATTATTGACTATAGTCACTCTATTGTGCTATCAAATAGTAGGTCTTACTTATTTTTTCAATTTATTTTCTAGATGTTAACAATCCCCACTCCCTCCCCAGCCCCTTACTACCTTTCCCAGCCTCTGATAACCATTATGTTCATGAGTTCAATTGTTTTGATTTGTAGATTCCACAAATAAGTGAGAACATGTGATGTTTGTCTTTCTGTGCCTGGCTCATTTCACTTGACATAATGATCTCCAGTTCCATCTATGTTGTTGCCAATGACAGGATCTCATTCTCTTTTTATGGCTGAATAGTACATTATTGGTGGAAATGTAAGTTAGGACAACCACTATGGAGAACAGTTTGGAGGTTTCTCAAAAAACTAAAAATTGAGCTACCATCTGATCCAGCTATCCTACTGCTGGGTATATACCCAAAAAAAGGAAATAAGAATATCGAAGGAATATTAGCACTTCTATGCTTGTTGCAGCACTGTTTACAATAGCTAAAATTTGGAAGCAATCTAAGTGTCCATTAATAGGTGAATGGACAAAGAAAGTGTAGTAGATATACACAATGGAGTACTCTTCAGCCATAGCAAGTTTTTTCCCCTGTAACTGATGGACTACATTATTTTATTTTATTTAACTTAAATTTATGTCTTATATTTTTTCTTTTCTATTTTCTTTATTTTTTAAAAAAAGTTATTTTATTTTATTTTATGTTAAGTTCTGGGATACATGTGCAGGACATGCAGGTTTGTTGCATAGGTAAATGTGTGCCATGGTGGTTTGCTGCACCTATCAACCCATCACCTAGGTATTAAGCCCCACATGCATTAGCTATTTATCCTGATGCTCTCCCTCCCTCTGACCCCTGAAAGACCCCAATATGTGTTGTTTCCCTCCCTGTGTCTATGTGTTCTCATTGTTCATCTACGACTTATAAGTGAGAACATGCAGTGTTTGGTTTTCTGTTCCTGAGTTAGTTTGCTGAGGATAATGTCTTCTGGCTCCATCCATGTCCCTGTAAAAGACATCATCTTGTTCCTTTTAGCCATAGCAATTTATTACAAGCTCATAAAGGAAAAAAAGTATTCATGCATTGAGCCATTGAAAAATATTTAGAAATACTGAGAGACTATTATGTGCCAGGTATTTTTCTAGGGGCTGGGTAAGCATCAATAAACAACAACAAAAATTCAATTTGTTTATTGTCTGTCTGATCCCACTAGAATGCACATGGACCAAGACTTCAATGGTTGGGTGAGAAAGAGTAGGAGTGCCAACAGACATTGGTTATTATTTTGTAAATGTTGGTCAAGGAAGGCTCATTAATAATTTGACATTTGAAGAGAGGTATTACAATGCTTTTTTTTACCAAGGAGGACAGGATCAGGGAGACAAAGTGGCTTGCTGATAGTCACACTGTCTATGAAGTGTGCCTGGGATATAATAGCTGTTGGGATTCTAAGCTTAGGACTGATCTGTTGCAACATGGAAAGATGAAAATCACTTTTATATATTCTTATGGTATTTATAAAAGTTATCAGGGGAGTAAACAAGGCATTAGTCATGTATTTTAGTGTGGGAAGATTGGAGCAGGAATACCTTTATAGAAAAGAGGGTGCTGAAAGTCTTGGCAAATTTTGACAAAGAGGGGCAGGCAAGGTAGATGCAAAAATTAGGAACAAAAGCACATATAGAAAACAAATTTGGTGTGATAATTGTTATAACGGAGTGAAGTGAGACACAATAGCAAGGTCCAAAATGGTATGAGATAAATTTGCCTTTTAGCGGCTGTTGCTCACACTTGCCTCATCATTTGAACTGTGAGCTATTTCAGATCTAGAGAACTACATCTCATCTGTCTTTATATCTCCAACCCTTAGTCCCTATCTCATTAAAAGTGCTCTCTCCATGGCTTTAATTGGAATCACATTATCTAGCCTTATGCAAAGTTGGGGAATTAAGGAAGGTGGAAGATGAGAACATGGCTTCACTTCTCTTTCCCTGCTGTGGGGTGCTAAGAGATCAGGGTTAAGTTTGGAGTATTTGACAGAGGTAGCACAAGTATGAAAAACCATTATGAAAGAAAGTTTAATTCATTTATCATCTGTCTGATTTGCTCACCTGAGATTTCTTTGGATTCTAAGTCCACTCACAATTGAAATGGAAACCTAGAATTTCTTCATAATACCAGATCATTTGAATACATGAAGATCTTCAGGCTTATTTTATACTTTCCTCTAAATATATAAAACAAATACAATAAAACTAAGTTCACACTTTGGGAAAATGAAATAATCAGACAAACAGCTGTGGGAAGAGTGGCTGATTGATAGGTTCAGAAAGAATCAACAACATCGTCTTATCTTTGGAACCCTTCGGGGCCATCACATGGCAATGATTCCTAGCAAAACAGAAAGGAAAAAAAAGTTAAAGATCTTGATAATCATCAGTACAATCTGCCTATCTATGATACAATGCATTTTGATGTGTTTTATGGGATCTCAGGAAATGTATTTTTTTCAGTGAGGATGGACAAAGAATTACACTATTGCTTAAGGAGAGAGCTATTTGAATTAGAGTTAGAAAATTCTAGATTCCAACGTCATTTACTAGCACTGTGACTTGGAGTAAGTCACTTATTATGCTGTACTTTCAAGAAGCAGGAAAAGTATATATTTCAGACAACCTTACATGCATTTCCTGATTTAATCCCTTGATCATTTTAGTGACAAAAGATTAGTGTTTTTCATTTAACAATTCAGGGACTTCATGATTAGAAAGGATTAGTGACTTATTCAAAGTTACTCAAAACATAAATGTCAGATTTGAAGACACATTTATGCTTTTGTTCTAGCCCACAATGTTTTCTCTGCATAAAATGATTTTTTCTTTTGTATGTTGAACTTATATGCACATATATAGGTTACTTCTACAGATGGTATTTTGTTCAGCATTACACAGCATAAAATGTCACATGCTAGTAATGGCTGCAAGTTTCTCAGAAATCAATCAGGGACTTGCATTCTTTGTATTGTAAGAAGCACAAAAACAGAAAATGTAAACAAATTAACCTCAGGTTCTGTAATTACCATGAGCAACGAAGAGTTTGAGGGAACCAGTCTTTTATCAACAGTGGGTATCTTTGCTGCAGAGAATCTTGCGGAGACACCCCTCTATCCACCAAGCCTAAAGCTTGACAAATAGGAGGTAATCAGTGAGTGTTTATTGAGTTGAATTGAAGGAAGCAGACAGTTAGGAAAGGTGGAACTTCAATATCCGTTCATTCATGCATTCACATGCCAAATATGTTTTCCTAGAATATGTATCTCCCTTAGATTCATTGAAACAAAAACATTCAAAGAAAGAGCACATATTGCAAGGAGGCAGTGGAGAATGAGAAGAGACTGATAAGAATCAGGAAGTGTAAGCCAAAGGAGAGTCATGTAATCTTTAAAAATCTAGAGAAGGATAAAAAAGATTACCTATTTGATATAGAGTTAATTTTAATATAAAGAATAAAAAGCACAAGCCACTTAATCTTTGGAAAAACACTGCTGTGATGTATTTTGACAACTGTCACTAAGGGTACAATAGACCTGTAACAACCTGCTGTTACTAACCCTCTGTTTAGTAACTCTCTATTAACTAGAGCATCCACCTCACTTTCTGTTCTAAGTGTTTTTTGCCTCCGGCTTCCCTCCAAGGAAGGTCAGACTCAGACTCTTGTTTATACAGATCTAACTATCTCTGTCCTGGAGGGACATAGAGATCTATTCCCCTCTGCTTGCCTCTTTATCTTGGGGCATAATCACACCTAGATTGCAAGTTTCCCAAACAGCCTGGGCTAAGTGTAGTTAAAATGTGGTCTATGTGCGTAAGGACCACTAGTAATGAATGGCTCCTGCAGATCACACATATTTGTCTTATTTTGTCTGCAAGTAACACTCTCTCTGTTTTATAAAGGGAAAGGCTGGAACCAGAAAGCCAATACATTGTGGTGACTGTTTGCTGTGTTTCATACACCTGTGCAACTTGCAATATAGTGCCCTGCCCTCCACACTTAGAATGTAGAGATTATGAAGTCAGCTTCCTTCTCTGTCTTTATCTGAAACAGTGTTTGATATGCAGTAGTTGTTTGATAAACACTTATGGAATGATGAACTCATTCCTTGTCAGTGGCTAAGTATGCTCATCCCGCTTCTTTTCCTTAATCTGTATAAAATAGAACCCAAGATTTTATGTGCCACCCACTTTCTTAGGTGTATGAATGGGAGCTGAAAAGTGTTGACTACATGAGTACAAATACATTCTTTTGGAAAATATGAAAACATAAAGAAAAAATGCAAAATGAGAACCGGTGATTATAAGCAAAAGGGAAAACGAGGTGCAATGTTGAGCCAACAGCTGATGCTATGTCTTGCACAGACAGTGATCTGATGAAGCAGGAATCCTGCAGCAGCATTGTCTGAGAAGAGGCATAAGGGGAGGAGGAGGAGGAGGGAAATTCTATTTTCAGAGATAAATGTGAGGAAAGAGGCAAGTCACTGCACTGGGAAGAAAGAGAGCCTGCACCCCCAAAGAAGAATGTAGGAGGATTTCAAAAACAGGACTTGTGGAATGCAACAAAAGGGTCAAGGAGGGTATTGGCTTGAAAGGAACAAAAGGAGTGGTGAGAAGATTATCCAGGGTTAGTTGTGAGATCTGTGCCCTTTGAATTACTGTGAAAGAATCAAGTTGTCAGAATTTTAAGTGCCTCTAGCATGTAACTCCGCTCAGTACTTGAACACCTTTCACTTTTGTATATCTCAATGTTTTATAAGTCTCTTTGGCTGACAAAGAAAAACCAGGAGAAGCATGACAGTGGTAGAAAGCCCTGGAAAGTATATATATATATCTCAGTCTAGCTCCTGAGTCCTACTCTGAGGGGAATTTAGACAAGTCGTCAGTCTATGTTCGATGGTCATTGTGACAGCTACCGTAATTAAATGAAGACACTCCCTCCCTGGCCAAAGATCTCTCATTGAAATAGCTGTGCTTTTCTGCCCTGTTTTAAAGCAATGGAAGCAATTATTGTCTCTGTCTTTACAGCTTTGTGCAGTCAGAGTTGTGCAATTACAACAATAATGTAGTCTTAGGGGTTGTAGTGGTAGTAGTTATTGATGTTGTCATCACAGTGTTGATCAGCTAATTATTATTGGCTAAATATTTTATCATGCGTTTATCTTTAATAGTCATCTTTTAAAAATATTTTGGGGTAAGTGCTGTCTTCATGTGGCAGAAGAAAAATCATGGACTCAGAGAGGTTAAGAAAATTTCCCAGGTTATTTACAACAACTGGAAGTGAAGAAGCCAGAAATCCAACCCACTGTGTCATATCAAACCTGGGCTCCTAAAACACTACTTGTATTGCTTGTGTGTAGTGGTAGGCTGTGATCAATATGACAGGCCCTGATTGATCATGTCTGATTGATCGATCAGATATACTATGTCTGATTGATATCTAGGCCTTTGAAGCACGACAGGCATTAGGACCACATTAACATTGGGGATAAGATCAATTCAATTAAAATTTGTTTTGAGTACCTATTATACTCTGTGAATTATGTCGGGTGCTATTTTATAAGTCTCAGGTGGGTATTTCTATGTCTGTTTTATAAGTGAGGAGACTGAGGTTCTAAGAATTGAAAATTGTCACTAAATTGTATTCAGATTCAGGTCTGAATTCTGGCTCCATTTCTTAGTAGGTAACTCCAAGGCCAGTGCCCCATTCTCTCTACAACTCTGCTGTTCTCTTCTGCTTAAGTTCTGAATTGCTAGGAGAAAGCATCCAATTTTGTAGTGACTTTCACTTTGCTTTTTTAAACCATAATATACTTATTATACGTGTAATTAGTTATTGGAATTGTGGCTTAAGGAAAGAATAGTGCCATCATGTTCTTCACAGAAATAATTCCACTTGATTGAAGTGTCCCTGGAAATGTTTTCATTTAGGAAAAAAGAAATTTCACCTTAATTCTGAATAGGAATAATTGGAAGTATTTCAATGTAACTCAAAATTGGCAATTTAGGTAGCATCAGTCATTGGCTAGCCATATGTTGGTACTGGAAATGGTGGCCTGTGTAGAATTATTTAACAGGGAATCCAAGAGCTACAGAAGTAACAGTCTACACGAAGTCACTATGCATGTTGGGAGTAAAAATATAGAGACGTGATATAATAGTTAATTCACTTGCAGGGATTTCATATGTTATTCCATATGGATATGGATATAGAGATGGCTGTGATCTACACAGTGGGATAATTAAGAAGCTGTAGTTTTTTTAGTCTAAGAATATGCTACATTATAAAACAGGAAACTCACATGTAAGGAAGTAATTTTTACACATTGAGATAGTGGAATGATCCTC